>NT_187556.1:300000-600000 GCF_000001405.40 Homo sapiens | reverse complement strand
GTTTATGTTTTCATGATTTCTAATATAGCTTGGGAAAATTATCTAGAACTTTCTCAAACAAGTGTCATTGTATTATTTCAACACAATTTTGTGAGTTCAGCAAAAATGAGCTAAATGTCTATTCTCATATTTCCCTTTTAGGTAAAACAGTTAATCCACTGATACTGCATTGTTGTTTTCTGTGACATATTGGGACTCTTTGAGCCCTGACTGTCAACAGGATTCATGTGGTTCAATGATGTTGTGAGGAACATGACAATCCATTGCCCTCAGTGAGTTTATATTTTACTAGAGGAAATAAACATCAAATGTTTACTTAGAGTTAATTATGTAATTATAATCATCATATGTTCATGGCTATAGCCTACAGACACTTTTTCCCAAATATTCTCTAAAAGAGAAGATATTAATTCCCAAGTAACTTAGGTCAATGGGTGGTGTATTAGTTCATTTTCACGCTGCTGATAAAGACATACATGAGACTGGGAAGAAAAATAGGTTTGATAGATTCACAGTTACATGTAGCTAAAGGCCTCATAATCATGGTGGAAGGTGAAAGGCACTTCTTATGTGCCTTGGCAAGAGAGAATGAGAATCAAGCGAAAACGGAAACCTCAAATCTCCTGAAAACCATCAGATCTCGTGAGACTTATTCACTACCATGAGAACAGGATGGGGGAAACTGCCTTCATGATTCAGTTACCTCTCACTGGGTCCCTCCCACAACATGTGGGAATTACAGGAGCTACAATGCAAGATGAGATTTGGGTGGGGGCGCAGCCAAACCATATCATGTGGGAAATGTCTTTGCACCTTCGAGTTTTTTTTTCTTTCAACCACGTCATCATCCTTATTATTACCTTCCACTGGACCTGAAATCATTTTGTTCTACTCATGATGAACTTGGGTACCAGCATAATTTAGAGTTGCTCTCTCCACTTTCAAGGCTCATCGTCTTCCTGACGACATCAGTATATGTGTGGAAAGCGCCTGGATAGTTTTTTCACCTCACCACTTCCAAAGGTCACACCTCTGTTTACTACTCTGGTTACATGGATGTTGTAATATCTCACAACTGTTCTAACTTTATGCATATGTATCATACTTCCCAAGTATAAACCTATCTTCTTCTACTATACTCATTTTGCTTAGATCATCCAGTAACTTCATGGAGAGCTCCAATCCATCAAACCATCTGTCTTTAGCTAGTTCATCAACTTGCTTATCATCAAATGAAATCAAAATTTGATTTCATTGTGATAACTTTTGTTATACAATTGCTGTTTCCATAAACTCTTTACTGACTTTTATTCTATCCACTTTTTCTGGGCTTAAATTAAAAAAAAAATACTGTTTTTTTTTTTTTTTAAATCACACCACATGATAGATTTTGATCACTAGAAATTCAGGGTTATCAATTTCAATTGGGTCCAAATATAACTGGAAATTCTACTACTATATTTTTCTGTTCAGTTATCTTTGTTCTTCTACTCTGTATTTCAACTCCTTTCAATTTTCTCCAGACTTCAACCACTCCTTCTTTTCACTAGCCTATTACTTATAGCTGAGAAAATTGTAGTCATATAATGGAAACTTCTTTGGCTACCAGTCCTAGAAATTACATTTTTATGCATCTTCTCATTTCCTCTTACTATAAAAAAAGGCAGAGAGAGCCTGTCTTACAGCCTGTGATTTGGATTTTATCCTGTTTCACACTAACAGTTATCACTTCTTTCATGTGTATACACAAATACTCGCTACCAAATTGAATTATCCTCAATATCTAAACAAGTTTAAGTGTTTCTTACCTTAAAAGTAATAAGAAAAATTTTTTGAAAGTTGAACCTTTCCTTGATCCCATATCTTTTTCTATCCTTAGTCAAATTTTTCTTTATCCATTCAGACAAACTTCCTATAAAGCATTCTTAACCTTGGTGTCTCTGTGCTTTCACTGTGTTCTTCATTGTCCAATATAGTTTCCACTTCCATTCTTCATACAGACCGCTCTTTCTTTGGGCACTTCTGATCTCAATGGCACAAATAAGGGGCATTTCCAATAACCATTTTATGTAGTATTTGGCCAGTATTGGGTTCCTGACATCTCTTCTCCTTTAGATACTCTTTTATTAATAAGCTTTTGTGATGCCATGTACTTCCATTTTCCTTTTGTAGTTCTATATACTTAAATATATTTTTTTCATTTCCCTCTGTCCTCATTGTAGCCTCATCTTCCTCAATCTTATCAGAGTTGAAAGTATAGGGCAAAGAGAGTGAAAGATTGAGGACACATCTTGTGGAACTACAATGTTTAAGGTTCACATGGTAGAATTCAATTTTATGTGATGATGTTTTATATATATGCACATATATGTAATGTGTATATACACACAGATGTATATAGTCTTGTTATCATTTGTTGAATGTCTACTTTGTGATAGACAGTATTTGAGCTTTAAGGACACAAAGTTAACTACAGTTCCTAAATTGGAGGTCACACCTTGTCATAACAGATAAAGATACATGTGCTTTACTGGTACTCATAGGGTTGGATCTGCAGTGTCATTCTATCTTTGTGTGTGTTACAGATGCCTATTTTATTCGTTACTGAAATTTGGGCATAAATATTTAGAAATAGGTTTTGATTTGGGCACATTTGTTCTTTGAAGGCAGATGTGTGATTTATTCTGAACGTTAGCAAAATTTAATGTTTAAATATTAAAATAAAAAACATGAATTTAAGGAGGTTTATAGGAATAAAATACTAGTTTATTCATGTTTTTCCAAACTGGGATTGGGGGGTTAGGTTTTTAGTGGAGGGAGAAGGGAATGGAAGAAATATAATTTTAGTACATGTGTCTTTTATGGCTATTTTCTGCTCATAAAAGTGGTGCCACTTAACATAGCATGCTTACTGTGTGGCAGGAGATGTGCTAAATGTTTTATGTGCATTATCTCATTTAATCTTCCCTATAAACTTTCCTTTATAGAAGAAGAAATTGAAGTTTTCATTTTACATAAGTTAAAGTTACAGTTAAAGGGTACGAACTAGGCCAGGTGTGGTGGCTCATGCCTGTAATCCCAGCAGTTTGGGAGGCTGAGGCAGGCAGATCACTTGAGGCTAGGAGTTCGAGACCAGCCTAGCCAACATGTTAAAACCCCGTCTCTACAAAAATACAAAAATTAGCCAGGCGTGGTGGCATGTGCCTATAATTCCAACTACTGGGGAGGCTGAAGCACGAGAATTGTTTGAACCTGGGAGGCAGAGGTTAGGGTGAGCCCAGATCATGCCACTGCACTCCAGCCTGTGTGACAGACCAAGAATCTGTCTCATTAAAAAAAAGAAAAAGAATATGAGTTAAATATATATCTGACTTTGGAGCCTGGGCTCTTAACACTATGATATATTGAAAGAATATTAAGGGGAAATTTTTTTCAGATTTTTCTAGTATCTGTAATATCTTGTATTACATATTGCATATATTAATTAATCATTTCACATATACCATTCAGTCTTCACAAGAAACCCGTGATGTACGGAAAGGCAGTATTGTCAAGATGAGACTACAGAGACCCGAGTTAAATATTAATAACTTGCTTGGGTTACACGTGATAGTAGATCCCAGGCTTCCAAACACCCAGTTCAGCTTTCCATTATAGGAGACACTTCCTGTGGATTCATTCAGTTTGCTAGAGGAAAAAGTTGTCCTTGTTCTCTAGGGTTTCCCATCTCCCCCAAGTTTAATTCAACTTTATTTCACTTATTTAGTTAATAATCCAGGACTGTTGCTGGAGTAGCAAAAATTTGATTAGAATCATCACCTTCAGTGTTTCAGGTAATGGAGTGGAGTAAAAATGGCTTAGAAAGCAGAGCCTGTTCATTCTGCTCCCAGGCTGGCCTCCTGGAAGGTTTAAAGTTGACATCTGGTATGGCTTTCATTGCTCTCTTCTTCTGGGAAGCCTGGTTGACTGCTTGACATCAAGCATTAGATCTGACCTGAGCATTAGCCCAAGCACGCTTTGCGTAATTAAGCTATTGAGATTTGTTTTCCCTGACAGGACAGAAGAGCCCTACAAGGTGAGGGCTCTGTTGAAGTGATAAAGCTGATTAGATCTTTAGCAGTAAAGGAATCTGATCTTAGAAATTTCTTCTAGCTCTCGTTAATGAGGCAAAGACAACATTTAGCAGGGAAAATGAGGTCACTAAAAAGAGGAACTTTTTTTTTTTTTAAATAAAGAACCAATTATTTTGCCTCCTTTTAAATCAAGGCCTCAATTTATTGTCCTGAGTAAAGCTCAATTTAAATGAACACATATGAAACTTTTTCTCAGGGGTGTAGTAATCTTGTTTAAAGTACAAGAAGTTAAACAACTCAAGAAAGTGAAGCTAAGATAGACCTAGAAATTAAAATAATTTAATGAATACTGACAACAAAACTGAAATAACCAACAATGATGTGTATTTATTCATTAGAATGTCATTGTTTTCAAAAAAATGATTTTTAAAAACTTTTTTTCTGTAACTTCTCTTTCCTTAAACCACAAACAAGCAAATAAAACTTATTTTCCTAGGATACATTTATACAGACTTCAGGTATTACACTGTTGACAATCACACCTTTTAGTTTAGATAGCACCTTTCTATATGCTGCTATTTAATCCTTAGAAAACTTTTTTTGAAAGCTGTATTATATTCATATTATGGGGTTAAGACTTAGCTCTAAAAGTTTCAAATCTCAAATTTATGTGAATCCTCAAGAATTTGTAAACAAGAGGGCTTGGAGTATAATACAGGGTTTTTTTCACCCCTGAGAAAGTGGTCTGTACCAGAGTTGTCTCAAGTTATACATTATTTAAAGTTTTTAATACTATTTTCTATTTCTTGCTAAGCCCTTGTTCCAGTATTTACAAAATGACATGGGAATTATGTTCCCACCAAATACATTTATGTGAAATGTAAATCATATGCACACACATATTGCACACCCTCCTGTGTTCATAGATGGCCACCCTTCCATCATGAAGCATTCTGCTTACCACAAAGACCCCATCCTCCATCTCACTTTCAGCTTATTCCAGTAAAATCAATTGTCACAAAGGGTAAACTTGGAGTAGAAAAGAAGTAATGCAGGTAGTTTATGATTGGGACAGATGGAAGGGAGATGAGCCATCCATTCCAGCGGCTTACCTTATCTCATTGTTATTGACTTTGAGGTGGTTGTAGTGTGAGAATGGAAAGGGTTTAATGGAACCATGCTGCCATCTTGTCAATATAATGTCTAGTCAGTGTGCTAGTTAAAATGAAATTCATTTTTTAAATTTAAAATTTACTTAACATTTTAGACTTTTAAAGGAAATTTAAACTCTAAAGTCTACTTAAATGAAATACTCTGTGTCTTCTTTTTCTTGAGAAGCAATGTAGTAAAGTTTTCAAAAGCAACCTAGAGGCAGGATGACTCAGGCCATTCCCGGCTTCACCACTTGTTAGCTTTTGTGCCTTGGTTCAATTACTTTTCTTTAAAATGAACATGAAAATAATACCTACCTCGTGTGATTGTAATGAGGATTAAATCAATTTATGTGTGTGTATGTGTGTGACTGTAGCTTGGGACAGTCTACTTTATATAGTAAGTGCTTGACAAATGTAACTTATTATCAGCCCAGTCAATCAAACTTCTCCTCCTCCACCAGAGTAAAAATGTCCTGGCAGAGTTTACCAAATACCTAAGAGCTAACCCCAAGTGATGCTTATTAGTTTCAGTTTCTCTTGACCTCTTTCTTATGTTAGATATTATTTGCCTTTACCTAGGTCTTTTTGGAAAACTCAGCCTCCCAAATTTTCAAGTTGTTGTTCTATTTCTGCAGAACTGCACCAAGCTTTCACAGTTTTCACCTCCTCCTGCTAGAGGTTTTCACCTCCTCCTACTAGAGGTTTTCAGTCTGTACTAAGCTAGAACCATAGCCTGATCTCAGAATTGGCAGATACTCCCATGGGAAAGAATAAAATGGCTGGAGATTATTAGATAACATCAGAGACGCTCTCACCTTCTAAAATGTGTGTGCATCTAGATGCCACTGTTTACACACGTATCTGAAATCTTTAAATTATTGTTATTGTAATATGCCTGGCCTTTCCTAATCCTTTTATTAGGAGTGTTGACCTGCTTGAAACCTCCTGGTACCACCACCCTTTCTTTCTTAACCATTCGATGTTGGCTTTATATCCGCTGGTGGCCTTTTCAGTCTTGACTTTCATTTCCAGTAGTTTTCTTCTCTTATTTATCTTC
This sequence comes from Homo sapiens, assembly GCF_000001405.40. Lineage (NCBI taxonomy): Eukaryota > Metazoa > Chordata > Mammalia > Primates > Hominidae > Homo > Homo sapiens. The sequence goes on along the minus strand of NT_187556.1, from coordinate 593,716 downwards.
TTATGCCATCTTACTCACCAATCACTTTAACTTTCAAATTAGTCGCTTATTCCCTTCCATGGAGTTATCTGATATCCTTCGTCAGATAACTTCGAAATTTATACCTTTATTTTACCCTGATAATCTTCTCTTCCAAATCTATCTATCTAGTTATTACTTAAGCATTTTCCACTGTGTGTTATCATAGGCAAATCAAATTTGAAATGTTCAAAACATACTTCATTATTTTCTCCCTCAATTTGTTTCCTTTTCTGTATCACTAGTCCTGAGAAGGAATCCTGACAGCATCATTCACCTAGTAGTCTAAGCCAGAAATCATTGAGTTGTCCTATATTTCACAACTGAGTCAGTAAGTTCTACCTTCTCTGCTTCCTTAGTATTATTTTTATCTTTCCTTTTTCTTCTCATCTCACCATTCCCACTACTTCTAGCATATTGACTTATTTTTTCTCTCCATATCATCTTTCACTTTATAGCCAAATATGTTTCTATTAGACCAATTTGATTATATTCTATTCTTACTTTAAACATCAACTTTCATTACATTTTAAAAAATGCTTTGCAAATACTCCAAAATAATGTATGTATCCCCATGAATAAAGGAATCAAATACAACATTGAAGAGCTGAATGCTAAATCTGTTTTCTCTTGAAAGTCACAGCACACATTATTATTGTTATTTTTTTTTAGAGTCAGGGTCTTGCTCTGTCGCTCAGGCTGGAGTGCGGTGGTGTCATCCTACCTCACTGCAGCCTTGAACTCCTGGGTTCAAGCAATTCTCCCACCTTAGTCTCTTAGTCTGTGAAGTAGCTGATACTATAGGCATGTGTCACCACACCCAGCTAATCTTTTTCTTTTCTTTTCTTTTCTTTTTTTTTTTTTTTTTTTTTTTTTAGCGACAGGCTCTCACTGTGTTCCCTAGGCTGGTCTTGAACTTCTGGGCTCAAGTACTCCTCCTGCCTCAGCCTCCCAAAGTGTTAGGATTATAGGTGTGAGTTACCGCACCCAGCCACAGCACACATTAAAAGAAAGGCCATATCAAGCTTTGCTATTGACTATAACTACAAAACTGTAAAATGAGCTTATATTTAAATCTAGAAACTTTTTTTTTCTTAACATTCTTGGATATAAAACTATTGAGTGCTGTACTCCTGACCTCACCCTCATGGTATTTAAGGCCTTCCATGCCTATGTCTCTAATCTCATCTCTTCCCTTTTGAGCCTTTGTAGCCATAGAGATTATATTTATTTAGTTTTCCAAACATGCCATCCCAATCTTTTTCATTGTATTTGTTCCTTTGGCCTGGAACATCAATAATCTGTTGGTTGACACTCATCCTTGAAAATTCAGCTGTTTAAAACTCAGATTATCTTACTAATGTGTTCAGTGGTTCACATACTGCTTGGCACATAGTAGGTGCTCCATGTATGTTAAGTAAACAACAAAAATGGAAAAAATCAATATGCGAAAGTTTACCTTTAAAGAGATTTTCTATGTCTGCCTATATATTGCCTATTCAGGATATATAACAATACTTGGTAATAACTGCTTAAAAAATTTAAGCTGCTTAACCTCTGTAACGTAATTTTTCTTCAAATTTTATATTTTGATTTGTTTACCTGTACAAGAGTTAGGAAATTACTTACATTATAAGGTTAAATTTTTAATTCTTACTGAACAAAAATTAGATTTACTTTTGCATATATTTAGCTATTCCCCTCCACTGTAGAAATTCCTTGAAAACTATTGTTGTAAATATTTTCTGTTTCTTTTTGACAGGTAATATTTGAAGCTGAAGTCTCAGGAGGGAGAAGTGGTTATATTGCCATTGATGACATCCAAGTACTGAGTTATCCTTGTGGTAGGTTGTGATTAAGAATTGTATTTTTCTATGTCCTTTCCACACTTGCCTTATATTGGCAGTGACTATTGATTGTTTATCACTTGGTTTTTGCTGTCTCTCTTGTTATTGTTAGTCCTAGCCTTCTATTGAGTTTTAAAAGGAAACTGATATCTTTCTAGAGTTTTTGAATCAAATATTTTTCAAACTTGTAACTAATTGTATACCTATTAGGAGATTCTTTTAAATTATTTCATTACTGAGAACAAAATATACATGCAAAGGCAGCTGTTAGTAGGACTTGTTCATTTTTTTGGCATCATTAAATTGTCTAGAAAAACAGAGAAGAATAGCAAATCAGAGTTCAACAGAAAGGAAAATATAAAGAAGCCTCATGAAGTTATTTGATCTGAGTTGAGGGCTGGGGTGAAATGAAGAGAAATAATTAGTTCACCTTATTCCAAATTTAGGACTACTTTTTTTCTCCTCTGTCATAATAAATGTCTGGCTAACTCATGAGGTCAGGAGTTTGAGACCAGTCTGGCCAAAATGGTGAAACCCTATCTCTACTTACAAAAAAAAAAAAAAAAAAATTAGCCAGGCGTGGTGGTGCACACCTGTAATCCCAGCTACTCAGGAGGCTGAGGCAGGACAATCACTTGAACCTGGGAGGTGGAGGTTGCACTGAGCTGAGATTGCACCACTGCACTCCAGCCTGGGCAACCACAGCAAGACTCCGTCTCAAAAAAAAAAAAAAAAAGAAAGCAAACAAAACAAGAAACTCGGTTTATTAATACACAGTTTTGTTATGCCCTTAGAGGCACATTGATTGGTTTTCAGATGGTGTACCTAAATTTGTGTTTACATCACAGTCCATGAAAAACAATTACTGCATGCATTCAGTAGAGCCAGGCAAAAAACAGCTGGCATAAATTCAGACTTTGCCTATATTTCCCAAAAGCAGCATTTTATAGGGCCCGTGAATTCTGGGTTATCTGTTCAGCAATCCTCCCTGAGAAGCATCTATAACACATTGTAAGCAGCAGGCTGGGGCCTCTTGTGAGGGCCAAGACCTGTGCTCCTGCTGAGTGGTTGTCAAACTCTAGTGTGCTTCGGAATCACCTACAGCTGTGGTAAATCACAGATTGCTTGGCTCTTCCCCTGGTTCTGATTGAATAGGTCTGGGGTGGGGCCTGACAATTTGCATTTCTGATTCCAGTGCAGCTGATGTTGCTGGTCTAGAGTTCGTAAATTGAGAACTGCTGCTTTAGTTCATGTTCTAACTCAAGAATTCCTTATTTTAAATCTCTTCCTGAGAGGTAAGTCACTAGAGAAAGATGTAGCCAGTAAGGGTCAGATTATATATACCACGTGGTGGTTGGTAAATTCTAAGAAAAGAGAGAACAAAATCATCTCATTTAAAGTTCAAGCTGCCTTACTAAGTTCTTTCAATCTGTAGTTTAAGAGAGCTGTGTTTTTATCTACTGTTTATTTTTCACTTCTTGAATGATAGGTGTTAAGGAAAGGCTTTCATAAGTGCACAGAAAATGGTGGATTGAGCACAACAGCAGTTTTAGGGTGATACGGCCCTCCATGAACTTTTCTTTTTACTCATGAGCCTTAGCTTTTGCTGTTTATATAAATTTCCTTTCAATGGGAAACATGGATGAGGCTTCAGTTTTAAAAGGTAGTTTCAGAGGATACTTGTCAGTCATAAATCTTACTTATATTTTGACTGCAGTCATTATTTTTGTTAGTCTAATATGGGTATTTATTTTGGATTACTATACTATGGTTATAATGGAATAGAAAAAAAGTTTACCAGTTTAGCTGGTGTTCTTTTTCTGAGAAGCAAAAATATTCCCTTGTTCTTTGAAGTGCTGTAGAGGGTTATAACTATTGATGTTTTTTTTAAAAAAAGATCTAACTGCTTAAAATGTAGCCTAATAAGTTCAATGGCCGTGTCACTGCCAGTAGTTTAGAAATCATTATATGTTTTCATTATATCTTTATATTAGGTTCTGATTTCATGTCAATTTAATCTCTTTTGGTTGCTTTGACTTGTAAGTTTGTAACTGTTTTATTATCATCCATATACAACATGCTATGGCAGCAGTTCAGCAGCAATTGTTGAGTGCTCACTCTGTAGAGAACAATACTCCAGCAATTATGGAACAGTAAGTAATAGAGCTATTGAGAAAAAGAGAACTATGAGAGTCACAGAGGAAATGGTGTCTTCCGGCACAAAAAAAGCCCCTCAGTTTTCTTCTTTCTGATGTTAGTCTTGGCCAAAGGTAAAAACACTAATGATAATATTCAGCTGGAGAAAAGTAACATGGCATATTTTCTTCATGTGAAAACAAATACATTTTTTTTTCCCTTCCTTCACAGATAAATCTCCTCATTTCCTCCGTCTAGGGGATGTAGAGGTGAATGCAGGGCAAAACGCTACATTTCAGTGCATTGCCACAGGGAGAGATGCTGTGCATAACAAGTTATGGCTCCAGGTAAGGCCAAGTTGGCAGCTGAGCTAAAGAGTATACTTTATGTTTTAAAAACATTGCAACAGGACTGTTTGTTGTCTCATCCTTTTGAGTGTGTGTGTGTGTGCGTGTGCACACGCATGTAGTGGGACAGGCTGTCTGCGTGAGTTTAATTACAGATTCATGTTAGAGATTTCCTTTTCTGAAATAAAACACATGAGCAAATAATTAATAAGTATTTTTGTTAGGATCTGGTGAAACACAATTCTCTCTGTTATATTCAAACTGCAAAAAATTCTGTAGATCCATTTGAAATATGAATAAGAATGATATTTTTTCTTATTTAATAATATTTTTAAAACTGAATTTACAAGAGTTAAGTAGGAGCTGTCATACTCTGATAAATTCTTTAAAGTATTTTAAGAAACCCTTGGGAATATTTCAGGAAGTATGAATTGGAAGAGAGCCAATTAAATTTTTGAGTTTGAGGGTTAATCACAGATCTGAGGTGAAGACATTTGCCTTTCACATATTACTTCCTTAATACATTTGTATTTAATTATGATTTAACATACATGTTGGGGAACTGTAAATGGTGCATATAAACAGATTTAAAAGAATCTGAGATAAAACTATAGACTAAGAAATATGCCTTGCCTTCAGAGAATTTATAGAAAGTCTATCTGTCAGTGCTAGGGTGCTAGGGGCTGGGAGGAGCTGAGAGCAGCTCTAAAGCCAGGAAGCTGGACCTAAAACAGATGGCTATTGAGCGAAGTATTTGAAGCTAGATGATGTGTAAGTAATAATATTCTCTGAGCACCTCTATTATTATTTTTTAGGTTCTCTGCATCAGAATGAGGAAAGAGATTTAATAAGTTGTGAATTTTAAATTCATGAGAATGCCAATAGAGACCAAAAAAAAAAAAAAAAAAACAAGATGAGTTTAATTTCTTCAACATAGGCATCATGATTTTTTTTTTACTACATCCTTTAGATAGGTGAAAGTAGTGTTGGGGATAACTATTAGTTTGCAGGTGGTTGTAATAAAGGTTATAATAAATGAATATTGAAATAATACCTTGTATAATGACTGATATGCTGGGTGTTATATTTGTGTTATTTCATCAAGTTCTTCCAGCATTCCAATTGGAGGTTACAACAGGTGTACTTCATATTAATCTAATTATTACTACTTTTATAGCTTATTTGATTTTCAAGTGTCAGGATACCATATTTTGTGTCCAAATATGAAAAGGAGATGAGGGTCCCTTTTTTCTGTGATTATGGTAATTTCTCCTACAGAGATTGAAAAATAGGATAATTTTTCCTGGAAAGCATGTTGTATAATGTGCAACCTGTTTTATCAAATAAATGTCAAGTCAGTTTTCTTATTTCTCTTCCTATGCCTAAATAATAGTTTAAAAATGATTTTAGATATATGTTCTAATCGTTTTGCTAGTGATTTTTTCATTTAGATGGGAACATTAGCTGGCATTTGGCTTTAGTTGTGAGCTATATAGTCTTTTCTTGGAGATCTAGAGGCTCTGTAGGTCTGCCCTTGGTTTTATGCCTCAGGATTTAATGTGACATTGAAATAAAAAGGGTTTTGTATCCTCAGTCACCAGCTGCCTTGTGGCAACAAAGACTTTCTGGACCCTGCTGGTCTGAGTGGGTGGTAGTCCCAATACTGCTCATTTTTTTTTTTTGTTTGCTTTCTATTTTGTAGATAGTCCATTTCATGATGGTTTTAAAAAATGTTCCTCCTGCCATTTTTGTAGCAAAGATGAGAGGTAAAATATTCTATGAAACTTCTATGTTGCTTTCTCCCCTACCTCACCTCTTTTTTTTTTCTTTTCTTTTTTTTTTTTTTTTTGGCGTTTGCTACAGAATGGTGAATTTATGTATTTCTCTTCCACTTTGACATGGACATTGCCTCATTCTTCAGTAGTGTGCATATTCACCTTAATTTATTCAAAAGCTATTTTACCTTTTTCAATAACACCACATCAATTACCTTAACTTATTCACTTACATCAGTCTTCCCCATCTACAAGAAATATTGAAATCTATTAATTACTAAGGGTGTTTTCAAATTAAAATAAAAACTTTTATTATGAAATTATTTAAAAATGAACCAGATAAGATTGATCATTATCTATATATCAATCAATTAGAAGGTGGCAGTGACTTAAAAAACTTGCTCAACTTTTGCCAAAAGTAAAAAAAAACATAATAAAGCAGGAAGAATTCTGGTTCCAAAGTGAATCTACCAGCTAACTCATGCAAACAGATGTCAGATTATTTTCATTTCACGTAGAATAACAGCCTAGAGTTCAAGAAGCTCAGTTCTGAATTCTAACTTTTACTCTAACCCTCCTAAACCTTTTAACCCAGTTAATTGCAGTGGCCTTAGAGATTTCATTTATGTGTTCTGGGCCTCAATTTGCTTATTTATAAAAGGAGATTCTGAATAGACACTAAAATCCCTTCCAGCTGTAAGATGCTAAACTAGGTCTTTACGTTATTTTTGGTGGCTTGAAACATGGCCTTGATAACCTTTTTGTGTGGAAGATGAAAAAGTCTTGTAATTCGTTTTGCATGGGGAAAAATGGTACCTTTAAGTATCATTGTGAGAACAAATGCTCAAAATATCTGCTGCTAGTACTGAGAATGAATGTACTTGAAGCACTCAATGAAAGGTCACTGCAGTCTATCCACAGAGGTAATGGAATAATACAACAGTTGTTATACCTGCCATGGTCAGGTAAAATACCAAATGGCAATCAACTTTATATGTCCTCCAAATAACTTACATTATGTAGTATTGAGCTTCAATTGGCAAAATGTTGTCTAAATATGGGCTAAAGTAACAAAGACTAGAAAAACAGCCAATTTTCTATTTCAAAGGAAAAATGATATACTATAACTCTGTGAAAGGTGTACAGAACACAATGCTTGATCATATTTGATATTTTAAATAATTTGTTATGGAAAAACTGAAAAATTTCTCTCACTTCTGTATTCTTTCTAGGTTATAATTAATATATCAGTCGTTTTTGTTGTCTAAAATAATATACAAATTGAGTAAATTGAAAAATGCAGGGAAAAACACAAACAATGAATTGCCTGAGTTAATCTAGGATAATTTCATAATGCATATCATGGTAGTTCTGAAAGTATCTATAGGGAATGTTCTTTCTTGTAAGAATTGGATTATATAATTGTAGAGTATTTGAAGTAGATCTACCTTCTTGTACATGCTAAATGAACTAATGATACATAAAACAACATCGAATGTTTTTATAAGCCTGAGTGTCAGTAGACTAAAAATATGGTGAAATCATGAGGTTTTCTGGAAAGTAGTTTTTAAAAATATGTTATGCGGTACATTTATGCACTAAAAGAAATTTAGGGTCGGGCGCAGTGGCTCACGCCTGTAATCCCAGCACTTTGGGACGCCGAGGTGGGTGGATCATGAGGTCAGGAGTTGGAGACCAGCCTGGCCAATATAGTGAAACCCTGTCTCTACTAAAAATACAAAAATTAGCCGGGCGTGGTGGTGCGCGCATCTAGTCCCAGCTACTCGGCAGGCTGAGGCAGAAGAATTGCTTGAACCCGGGAGGCGGAGGTTGCAGTGAGCTGAGATCATGCCACTGCACTCCAGCCTGGGTGACAGAGCGAGAATGTGTCTCAAAAAAAAAAAAAAAAAAAAAAAGAAATTTAGAATAAAGTCTTTAGTCACCCTTAGAGAACTTCCAGATTATTTTTCAATTGAGAGCTCAGTGAAGTAGCATGTATTCTGGATATAAACGCATTTTTTGGTTAATGATTTGTAAATTTTTTCCACATGAACAGACATTTTTTAAATCTTCTAAGTTTTAGAACTAAGCCATTTTAATTTTGTAGTAGTGTTCTCCTATCCTTGGGGGATACATTCCAAAAAGCCCAGTGGATGCCTGAAACCACACATAGTACCAAACCCCACATATACTGTTTTTTTCCTATATATACATACCTATGATCAAGTTTAATTAATAAATTAGACACAGTAAGAGATTAACAATAATAAAATAGAGCAATTATAACAATATACTGTAATAAAAGTTATATGAATGTGAGCTCTTGTAGCATATCTTTGTACTTTACTCACCCTCCTTAGGATGAAGTGAAATGATAAAATAACTCATAATGAGAATAAGTGAGGTGAATGACATAGGCAGTGTGATGTAGCATTAGGCTACTATTGTCCTTCTGACAATATGTCAGAAGGAGGTTCATCTGCTTGGGGCTATCCTAGATCATTGAGCCATGACGATTTTGATGGTTGGGATGTCAGAAACACACAATGTCGATGACTAACAAGTGAGGGATGGCACAAGATTTCATCACGCTACTCAGAGTGGAGTGCAATTTAAAACCTATGAATGGTTTATTTCTGAAATTTTTCATTTAAGATTTTCAGACTGTGATTGACAGAAGGTAACTGCAACTGCCCAAAGTGCGACCTTGGATAAGGAAGGATGTCTGTATTCCTGAGGAACGTTCAATGATACGGAATTTGTGATTCATAACTTGAAGCTATGATAAAGCTCTACTTATGGGAAATAAGATCAAAAGTGAAATTATAACATATAATTTATACTGAAATGAAATAATAAAAAGCATTTGGTTATATTCTTGAGAAGTGTCAAATAATTTTCTTACAGGAAAAATAAAAATTAGATTGTACACTTTTATAGGTTAGAAATGTTGGTTATTTTTAAATTTTGAATTTTTTGAATTATTTATTTTCAGTATTATTGAAAATATTTAAAATTCAAAACTTTTAAAAAATATTCAAATATTTCAATATTTGCATGTTTTTAATATTCTTGAATTATTTTTATTTTTTAATATCAAATTATTATCAATACATACTACTTGTACATATTTATGGGGTACATGTGATATTTTTGGAACAAGCATATAATGTGTAATGATCCAATTAGGGTAATTGATGTATCCGTAACCTTGAGTATTTATTATTTCTTTGTGTTAAGGACATTCCAATTCCACTTTTTAAGTTATTTTGAAATATACAATAAATTGTTAACTATAGTCACCCTATGGTGCTACTGAACACTAGATTGTAACTCTTATGAACACTGGATAAAGTGATTGCAGGAAAAAGTGAATATATAAGCAAAAAATGAACATATGGTGTAGCAGTTCCATTCCTAAGTATTTGCCCAAGAGAAATTAAGACATGTGCCCACAAAAAGACTTGTACAAGAATGCCTATAACAGCTTTATTCATAATAACTGATAATTAGAAAAAACCTACATGTCCATGAACAGGATAATAGATAGACAATTTGTGGCTCATTCAAACAATGGAATACTGCTTAGCAATAAAAGAATGAACTGCTGATAATGCAACAGCGTGAATGGATCTCAGCAACATTAGGTTTTGGAAAGAGGACAGACACAAAAAGGTCATATCCTTTATAATTTCATTTACATTAAGTTTCATAAGAAACAAAACTAACCTATGGTGATAGAAATCAGAACACTTGTTGCCTGTGGGGAATAAGGATTAATTGGATGTGGGCAGGGGGAAATTCTCTAGGGTAATGTTAATGTCATATATATTGACTGGGGTCTTGATCTATGAGTGTACAGACATTTGTCAAAGATTAAGATCTGTCCAATTTACTAATTATGTTTACCTGAATAAGACACAAATGAGGAAAAAATGAGTAAGTGACACATTTTATCAAATAACGAACTTACTGGCAGTGCTAATCAAGCCATAGATGGTAATAGCCTACAGGCATTACTTGCGTTTTTATCCATCTTGTCCATTTCAAGTGATTTGATTACATTCAAAGGTAATTTGTAATCATTAGCCTAACTTGAAATAAACATGTTCTGAGTTTCTGCTTTAAGAACACCTTATAACTTGAGGATATGAAAGGGTTGTAACTGGGGTTGGACTGAAAGTTATGCATTAGTATTCTATTATGAAGGTCCAGTATAAGTGGACACCTACAGGGTAAATCAAATAGAGCCTATTGCTGCAACATCTGTCAGACCATATGCTTTGGCTTCAAGTTCGGTGTAGAAACTAAAATACTAATGACTCCATCCATCATTACAGCGCTTGGCAGGCCTGCATCATTGAATTGGGCAGAGAAATTCAACAGTGGAGTTATTGAAAGTAGGGAATTGTGTGGGTAGATTTGGTGGCACCATTTGTTTTGGTGAATTGAAATGAGGCTGTTTAATGTGTGACTGGTAATCCTATGCAGATTGTCATCAAAACTGTGGCAATTGGGCCAATCTGTCAGTAATCGCCGCAGGTGCTGGCACTGTGCCTCCTCCGTGGGCCTGCCAAAACAGGAGAGTCAGCCACCGCTTCGCCCTTGGTGAGGCTCATCATTGCTAGAATAGTGTGATACAGCTAGTTGCTCAGCCAAAGGAAATGTCATTCCTTATGGAGCAACACATAATTTAAGCAATGGCTTGAGAGTACTAATTGGAGAGTGAAATCAGTAAAATGAGATGCAAATTGCTCTCAAAAACAACCAGAGCGAGGCTGACCCCCTACTGTACCAACCGTTCTCAGTGAAGGGGCAGTGAAAGCGGTTGGTCTAAAACTTCTGACCACATAGTGCGTTACCTGTCCAGGCAAATTCCAAAGCCTTGTTCCTGTACTCCATGCAAACATCACCACATGGTAGTGGGAATCTAAAGCATGATTTCTAAACAATTGAGTTAATTGGGAAGCACAAAAATTTTAGCTGATGAAAACATAGCACTACACCATTTCAGAGGCCTAGTAGTTACGGCTCACAGTGCTCTTTCTGATGACCCCATGCTATAGCATTTTTCTATGCTTATTTATATTGCCATTTGGCAAGCCCAGATGTTTGCAGCATATTTAATTTCTGCAAGAGATTTTACTATCCTGACACTATTTATTTTAGGAAAAAAAAGATAATTTTCCACTTATTATAATGAAGGTAAGCTTCCTGAAGAAATTACTGCATGCTTAGGAACTGCAGTTTACAGTAGGCAATTCTTTGGAAACTATTTTGAGAGGAGGTTTTTAAAGTCAACTTGATTAAATACATAATATGTGATCAGCTCACGCTAGGTAACATGCATAAAGAAAAAACAATGCAATGCAATATAATAAAAGTTGCTCTAATGTCTGGACGTGGTCAAAGTTCTGACATTTTCTAGGTAAAAGACTTTAAGAATGGCTGACACACTTCTGAAATATTAAAATAACAAACAGTAGCATATAAGTACCAAAACAGTGAGTAAACTTGAACAATGATGTCAGAATTGCTAAAGGCACATGGCACAAATATATCTTGAGATTTGTAGAAGATTAGGTAAGTGACTTATTTACTACCTTGTAATGTAAGGAATATACAAATGGATTTAATTTCCTCCTTATAGATCCTAAAGTATAATAATGACATGATTTGAAGCTTATGGTGAGAGCTATAAGCTGATTATAAGGGAGAACTTTGTAATTGTAGGGCTGTTGAAAACTACAATGAGCTGCTCCAGGAGGTAGTAAAATTACAATTAGTCCAAGTATCCAAGCATAATCTGGGTAAGCATATGCTAGAGATGTAGAAGACATTTGAGCCTGAGGTTAACTACTTTTTAAGATACTTTTTGCCCTGACATGTGATTCTATAACTGTGTATGGGAAGTCTGTATAGAGTCTAAGGACTGTACTGTTTCAGAGATAAGCGTGAGCAACGCGGACTGGAGTATTTGGTGAAATCATTAGAGAAGACTTGATTGAAACCTTGAAGTGTACATAGTACTTGAATAAGCAAAAGTGGGCATGGTTACTACTGCAGATTCAGAAGGCAGAAAGCACGTCGTGTGTATGTGTGGGGACGTGGGATAGGAACCGAAGGAGAAGGATCTTACTGAAGTGGAAGGTTCACCATGAGGAGTGGAGGTAAATAGAATTTATGGAAAAGTTGGTACTAGACCACGGTGGAGACTGCTGGAAGAGGAAGAGGCTTCTGTTCTCAGTACAGTCATCAGGGAATGAGGGCCTGATTCCGGACAGCGCCATTGGCATTGGAAGATCCATGAGTAGCAAAGGAGAGGACAAATTAAGAAACAAAACGATTTTGGGCCTGGTTTGCACCATTTTATAGAATTTGAGAAGATGTGAGAGTGAAGTAATATAGACAGCTTTGTACATTTTCTCAGAGTTTATTTTTAAAAGACAGTCAATGAGTTTGTTTTTTCAATTTCTAGTTTTGGAGCGCATTTGTCTATTAGAACCATTGTTTTACTTTTTACCTCTTTCTACCTTCATAATTTCATGTAAGTGTTCCTCAGTAGGAGTGAAAAATGAGGAGACATTTCAATTCCTTTTGACTCTTTCTAGCTTTAATAAAAGTTTACCAAGACAATTTGAAGCTTGTCGCCAACTTAAACCTCTGAGTGGCCCAGGTGTCACTGAGGAGAATTAATCTATGGGAAAACTGTTGGTGCCTTCAACCTTGGCTGCTTCTGTAACTTCTGGCTCACAAGACAGGAGTGTGAGGAGTGCAAACCATGTCCCTTGTGCTTTCCTAGTTTCTTGTCACCTGCTCTAAACTTTAGCTGATAGATGAATAGTAGCTTGCTATTTAATTCTAATTTTCTCTGCTTTTGTCTAAGCAGTAGTGATTTTGCCATGTATACACTGGTTTACAGTTAATTCTGATCCACTTAAGAGACCGTGTTCTCTTTCGTAGCTAAGAGCCAACACTCGGCAGTCCTGCTTTTCATTGGGCCATTGGTATATTCTAATTCACAGCATTATCTTCTTTCTGCATAGCTTTATATAAAGAATTCTGCTTATAGGTCTTGAGATAAAGTCACCGATCTCATATCATGGATTATAAGGTTTTTCTTCTGCTTTCTGGCATTTTGGATATGTAATGATGAGCATCAGAAAGTTTAATCATATTTACTTTTTAGAATTGTTAAATACTCCTGAAGTCATTTTGGTTGATTTTATGTGGCTTCCTACCGTAAAGAGATCAATGCCTTGCAGATATAAAGCTTTCTTTTCCTTCTTTAATAATTTATAAACTCTGAATTTAATGTTTACAGATTACATAACTGATCATAAATGAATAATGCGTATAATATTCTTTACCTTCCTTATCTATTCTTGGAACAGGACTATACAAGCCTGGCAGTCATGGAAGTTCAAGGATTGCTTTTTATCGATATCTAGAAATAATTTACTTCTCTTTCTGTGCAAGAACAATATGCTCTCCTGTTTGCAGAGCTGCCCCTTCAGTGTGTTTCTAGGTGTGTCACGTCAAGCACTTTGTAACTTTCCCATTGAGCTCCTGGGATCAGTATTACAACATGGATCACTGGCAGGCCTGGTTTCTTCTTTATGAAAAGTAGTCTGCTAGAAAGATCTAAAATTTACAAAATTATTTTATTGTAAAATAAAACGTAGGTATAGAATACCACACAAAAATAAAAACTATTGTGACTCAATATCGGGTAAACATCACACAGGACAAGAAAGAGAGCTTGCCAGCCATCCCAGAGGTGCCGTCCATGTGCTCTGTGCCAGGCATAACAGAGCTGTCTCCCTGCCTCTACAAATAACCACTCTCATGAATTTTAACCCTTGTAGTTTTTTTGCAGTTATATATGCATCCCTAGACACCATAGTCTTACCAGTTTTTAAAATTAGACATCTTTTTAAGTCACTTTTAATCTGTAGGTTTGTCCTTTATTCCTTTCCTCGCAATTTATCTGTTGAGCCTAGGATGTTTGACTTCTAGCTTCCCCTGTCCACATTTTGCTGATTGCATACTAATGCCCTCTTCAGTTCCACATGTCCCTCTTTCCTCTCCATTTCCTGCAACTTGGCAGCCAGATCCAGGGTCAAGTTTGATCCTTTGGCAACACCATAGGTGGTGTTTGGTATAATAACAGGAGGAACAAAATGTGTCATCTTTCTTTTTGTGATCTTGTCAGTCTCTGATGATTAATGCCTATATTTATTCCTGGGGGTAGAAAACTGTGATATTCTATCATTTTTTTGTGTGTCTTATTTCTTTTGTATTTGTTTAGTTGATGAAAAGATACATACTCCCCCTAATCTACTATTTGGTTACCCAATAACACAATTCATTAAGGAAAGGGAAAATACATGCTCCAATCTTTGCTATATTTACTAGTTTAAAATGAGTTGGTTCCCTATCATCCTGCAAAGATGACTTACTCTTTTTTTCTTTTAATATCATTATACACTCATGGATTTAAATATATTTAATGGAGTTTAATTTGTTGCAATTATTATTTCTATTAAATCTTAAATCGTCCCATATTTGCTTAGTGGGCACCTCTCCAAATTTGCTCCTGATTCTTTTTGATATGATTATAGTAGGCTTTGAGAGCTTCCTTGCTACCTGGTACTGTGAGATGTTTCACTTTCTCCTCTGGATGTGAGATCAGTCATTTTTCAATGATGTCCTGTTTAGTTTTAGTAAGAAATCATATTTCAAGATAACGATGCAGGTTCTGAGAGATACTCATTTCTAGATCGTTTCAGTGAATAGAGCTAAAAAATACATACACATATATTTAATGATAAAATACCTAATGAGTTCATAGGGATATTTCAAGTTGAAGCCTAAAGGTTTTTACTCAATGTTTATCTTATTACAACTTTTCAGTTACATTTTATTTCCACACCGATATTCTTGGTTGTCAGTGACATAAGGAAGGTGGATTTAGAATATATCATAATTATACATTGGTTTTATCTCATTTTATTTTGAAACTTGTACTAAAGCTCCATTGTCAGCATATAGCTATTGCATGGATAATATACTTTCTTCTACTTAGCTCTTATTTAGTCTCACTTCTAAATGTAACTATGTTTTTAATATTCAATATTAGCCCACCTGTCATATCTAGTAATTTTGTACGTCAGAAACACCTTTTTTGCATTTCAAATTCCTTAGGAACTGCTCATGGGAATAGTATTCCCTGAGTTCTTAGATGTTGATAATAGTTTTTTGTGCCCTTGATTCTTAAGTCAATTTCACAGTATATGAAATCTTTCATTCACATTTTCTTTAATTGAGTAACTTAAATAATGTTACTTCATTTTCTTTCACAGACAGAATAGGTACAGTCAGTCACTATAAAGCCTTGGTGTCTGTCTGTACCTATTTTTTCTAGATATGCAAATAATTGTTTCTAATTAATCTTACCAGAATATGTATCACAGTAGGTCACTCTGAGATACTGTCATCAGGTATGTGGTATTTTCTTTCATTATGTAGTTTATAAACTTTTTTTTTATTTTAGAAAATTTTTTGTTGTTGTTGTTGTTTTTGCTTTTTTTTTTTTTTGAGATGGAGTCTCACTCTGTCACCCCAGCTGGAGTGTAGTGGCGCGATCTCCGCTCACTGCAAGCTCCGCCTCCCGGGTTCACGCCATTCTCCTGCCTCAGCCTCCCGAGTAGCTGGAACTACAGGCGCCCACCACCATGCCCAGCTAAATTTTTTTTTTTTTTTTTTTGTATTTTTAGTAGAGATGGGGTTTCACCATGTTCACCAGGATGGTCTCGATCTCCTGTCCTCGTGATCAACCTGCCTCGGCCTCCCAAAGTGTTGGGATTACAGGCGTGAGCCACCGCACCCAGAAGTTTTTTAAAAAACTATGATTTGTAGTACTTTATCTGTACCCTTGATCCTGTAGAGACTTCTGTTTTCTCTGTTTGATCTTTGCCTGTCATCATTGATCACTTTCAAATATTTTTATTCTCCTTATTCTAAACATTAAAAATTACCCCTTTTTCACTCATTATTCAGGAATCATCTGTTGACTTTACTGTAGTTACTCATAATTTCTTTTTTTTCCCTCTCTATTTCTTTCTTTCTTTTTTTTTTTAATTAGACTTTAAGTTCTGGGGTACATGTGCAAAACATACAGGTTTGTTACATAGGTATACACGTGCCATGGTGGTTTGCTGCACTCATCAACCCATCACCTACATTAGGTATTTCTCCTAATGTTCTCTCTCCCCTAGCCCCCTATCCCCTGACAGGCCCCAGTGTGTGATGTTCCCCTCCCTATGTCCATGTGTTCTCATTGTTTGTCTCCCACTTATGAGTGAGAACTCATAATTTCTAGTAATTAATAATGATATTTCTTTAATTTCTAATTTTCCTTAATTGTCATTTCATTTCTGAGTTTTGTTGTTTAAGTTTATATTGTTTCATCTCATGAATCATTTCCGTAATATGTTTTAGCTTATCTTGAAATATTATGTTGCGGTTTTGATCTGTTTTATGGACATATTTTTCTGACTGACTTTCATTGACACTAAGAATTATACTCTGTTCCTTATTTTCTTTTAATCTTACAAAATCTATATGTGGGGTTTGATCTTGATACTTTTAAGTTATTCATTTTTATGTGAAATAAGTTTTCCTGAAGTTTTAAAATGAGGTGGGGTTCAGGAAACTTTACCTGATTTTACAGATTTCCCTCTTCTGTTGCTTTGAGTTATGTTTTAAAATACGGCAGCTTGCCTTTTGGGATTTCTGGGATTTCCCCACTTTTGTCTAGTCCTTCTATTTCCATACTCTCTTATTAGTCAGTCTGTTTTTATGTGGCAGGTTCAGAAAGATTAAAAAACTACGCTACTGCCATCAGCTTCCCAGAATCCCTCAGATCTGGTGGTTTCATTGCATTTGTCTTCTGACTTCACCCACCTTCCCTCTCACTCTATAAATTGCATGGTTTTATAGTTGTGGACTCATATGCATCACGTTTCCACTTTCTACAGTGCCGTTTGAAGCAACCAGCCAATCCCATTATGTTTCTTTGTTTGTTTCTTTGTTCTTGTTTCTTTGTTTGACTAAAATGTTCTAAGGTAGCAAATACATGGTTACCAAAACTTTGCCTTCCATAGATACTTGATTAGGAGTATATCTAAGAGTGATATTTTACATGCCTCTACTGCTGCATCATGTAGTGGACTAGTAGTGTCTTCTTTGCCACTGGCAAGAGAGGTTATAAGTACCTTTAAATCTAATCAGACTGAAAAATAAATTTCAGTAAACCCAGAATCAGAACCAAATCAGAAAGTTCATCCATAAAAATCTGATTCTCTAGAAGCACTTCTGGTCCTAAAATCATCTCTGTCCCTCTGGCCTCAAGAAAGTAAAGCAGAACCAGTAGGAGATAGATATGATTTTATTGAAATATATATATATATATATATATATATATATATATATATGTCTATATAATTATAAGATTACATATAGTAGGATTTTATTTACAAAATTGAAGAGATTTACTGCAAGGAATTGGTTTATGTGCTTGTGCAGATTGGCTAGGCAAGTCTGAAGTCTGTAGGGCAAGCCCTTGGGGAGGGCAGGCTAAAACATGCATGCACAGACTGAAGCTGTTGTTCACTGGTAGAATTTCTTCTACTTCGGAGAAGCCTCACCCCTGGTCTTAAAGCCTTTCAACTGATTCAATCCAGTCCACTCAGACTATCTAGGATAATCTTATTTACTAGATTATGGATTTTAAGTCCATTCACAAAATGCCTTCACAAGGTCACCTAGTTTAGTATTTAATGAAATAACTGGAGATTGTAGCATAGGCAAGTACACACATCAAAAGACTGACACAGTTATCAAACAGATTATTTGCTTAGATATTGTTTGGATTATCATCTTCATAATATTGTGATTATCAGAATTTGCTATGAATACCTTTGCACAGCAATCTCACAGAGTATTCTCATCATCTCTGTTGAATAAGTTGGTACAAATACATATACCCAATGTTAGATGAAAAGGTAGAGATTTGAGAAGTAATGAGAAATTGTTCAGCTCACAAATGGTTACTTCAGGGCTAGAAGCTGGGTATCATCCCCAGCAGACATGGTTCTGTCACTTACACCTGCTCTGTCCGTGTGGCTCCTCTTATTGGTCACCTTTTCTCTCCATTGCAAAGATACTCATGCTTCCTAGGGTGAAACTCTTTTTCTTGTTGAATAGCTGACTTTATATTTTGTTACACTTGATTAATCTGATTCTAGTATTTGCTATCTCCAGCACATCTTTACCCTGCTTTATTTCAGAATTATAATATTCACCACCTCTTTCTCTCTCTGTCAAATGGTATTCATTTACCTTCTTCCATCCTTCCATTGCCAGATAGTCAATAGTTTGAATTTATTGTCATTTCAGCATATTTTTTTTTTCTAGGAGAACACTATTTACTTACTCTAATGAAATAAGTATAATAATTTCTATGGCCATAAATAAGAAACAGTGCTTCTCTCAAAATAATAACATAGTATTTTTTAATTTTAGAAATTTCTAAATTTAAGTTTTCTGTGAAATACTTTCATGTTTTTAAAATTGTCTTTAAAATGATTTCATGTTTTTGGAATTATAGAATTATTTTGTTCTTCAATAATGGTGATTGTGATGATGATAGTATCTTTATCATCCTGTGAGACTGAAAAAAATTCATACAAATCTTATAAAGCAGACAAGCTCTAGTAAGGAACTCTCAGTTCCTTGGGATTAATTTGGCTGGAATGTTGTAAATTTCACGTCAGCCTCACTTGGTCGTAGTTGTGCAAATTCACTTTGGAATTCATTTTGACAACTCATATGCAGTCTTCTTGATGCTGTTCAACAGGGACCTAAATATCAAACATAAGAAAATAGGCTCTTTCTGAGTCCTACAATTTTAAGAAGATGAGAGAATCATATATCATTATGTCAATGACATATGATAGTCAATGATATATGAAAGTCAATGAAGAAATAAATATATAAATAAATGTAATTTGATTATTTTCAAGTCAATAGCCTTGAAATAATCTCGACATGTATTGTCAGTGCAGCTCTTTTTAGTCTGAAATGAAACTGGATTGATTTTATTCCTCAAACTTTGAAAAGAGACTCTGAAGTAAAGTGTAACATATTTTAATTATACCATATTTCTTTTAGGATACTTTCAAGCTGAAAGTAATAGAAAACCAAATGTATTATTTCATTTAACAAAAAGTCCAAAGAGAATTGGGCTCTAGTAATTGTTGGTGTCATTTCAGAGATTTGATAAGTAACTTCCTCTGTCTCTCTGCCTGATATGCCATCCTGAGTGCATCAGCATTTCCCTTAGACTGGACTGCCTTATGGTGATGAATCAGCTCTTCCAGGTTTTGGCATGACAGTAAGAAAAAGCAAAGGGAACCCATTTTCTTATGTCTCCTTAGAAGTGAGGAAACCTTTTTAGAAATAACTTGACCAATTCCTATCATATCTCCTTGGCCAGAATATGGACCGATACCCCATTTTAAAAACATGTCACTGTTAATGGAAAGAAGACTCAGGTTAACCTAGTGTTAATGGCCCAGTGTGTCTCCACGTGTAATATCTTGATGCAGATTTTGATACAATATATCTAAAGTGATCTCTTGACTCTTCATTTGTAACAATCTGCCAGTTGATGCTGATGCTACTGGTCTGTAGACCACATGGCAAGGTGTTTGGTTAATAGCCTGGCTGGTGAAAATAGATGTTGGAGAATCAACCTTTATTACCACTATATTCCACCAGGAATGAAACTTGTCAAATGAATACTGCATGCACTGTGCATGATGAAGCTGACTTAGTATAGTAGAGGAGAGGAGTGATAACATTGAGGATTATAGTGACTTGCCCAGGGTTACTTGGTAAGTGACAAGTTTTATCCAGCAACTTGTATTGGAGACAAAATAAATACAGAAGCCTGAGATGGATTGGAGGGCGGGATGGAAAGCAGGTAAAAAAAGTAGTGCTAGGTTATAATCCCTTGGATCATATATTTGTGTGATTCATTTTTCAGTACTTCTCAGAGGTGGGTATACATTTGCAATGGAGAAATCATATATAAAAACTCAAAGCAGAATAAAGAGCCTATAAAAGGAAAAGTTATTTTTGACTTCTAGAATTTAAATGTTTTCAATTGTTACCTTTAGCTCTAATGAATCGTTGGAAGCCAAGTAAAGAAAGCAATGTCTAATATAGATTATATTAGCCCATTGGAACGATGCCTTGATTAAACCTCAATACTAAATAATCAATTTGTTGGATAGGAACTGTAACCAAAATGAACATAACAGCTTTGGTTTAGTTTAGAGGAAAGTCTGCTGTATTTTAGGTCATCAAACCTAGTTTTGAATTTTAGTCCTGCTAACAGGCTATGTGCATCACATTTCTAATCTTTCTGAACTTTAATTGGATATGACTGTATCAGAAAAGTTCATAAGAGAGAGAAGCCACAGAACCAGTAACAGCTCACATAATATAAGGTACATGGAGGTGCTTATTAAATGATTATTGAAGATAAACCTGAATATTATGACTGTTAATTTTGTTATTTTATTTCAAGAAATAAATATCACATAAGTCTTTTGTACTCATTAATTATATAATATACATCCTATATAAGCATATGTATTTATAGTTATATTAGTATATTAATACACACACATATAAGCATCATGTAATATATCAGCTTGGTGATATCTTGCCTGGATGAGTTTAAGTATACCCCTCAGCCTCTCTGAGTTGTGGTATAATTATTTCTGAAATAGCTTGGTGTCAGTGATCTCTTGGTGTCCTTGAAATTCAATATTTTTGTAACCTCCCTTTATTATTAATTTGGATTGATGATTAATGTGTATTTTATTATAACTTAATAAAAGCCTAAGGAGGATTTATGTGACTCTTGTCTCTAAAATGTTCAGTGAATTTAATTCATTTTAACAAAGTACTTGAGCCACCCGCTAAATAAAGATAATATATATTAAATATTATGGAGGAAAAAATATATATAAATGAGACATGAAACCCTACCTTCAGAATGATTTCAGTATACAAACAGATGAAAAGACATTGATAAATATATCATAGTAGAAAAGATTTAAGATAGAAAAGTCAGTTAATAAGTTTTTATAATCTTTTATAGAGTTTTTGAGGCAGTATCCATGACCCTGTCAGCAGGAGTAGAAAGGGAAGAGTATATATGAGCTGATGGAATGCGAACTTGAGGCAGAGGGGAAGGAGCTAGATACCATAGATCAGGTCACGTGGAAATCAAGTAGGAATGTCTGCAAGTTTTTAATCTCCATTTTTAGATAACACAGACATTTTTCATAAGAACAAATGACCGATTTCTGCAAATGTCAGTAGTTTTAGAATAGTTGATAAGATAGTGCAAATTCAATATTGGCAATGCATAAACAATAGAAAGTTGAAAG
The DNA here is from genome assembly GCF_000001405.40 of Homo sapiens. Taxonomy (NCBI): domain Eukaryota; kingdom Metazoa; phylum Chordata; class Mammalia; order Primates; family Hominidae; genus Homo; species Homo sapiens. The sequence continues at coordinate 572,063 of NT_187556.1, read as the reverse complement.
AATCTGGAGCCCTTTCAGGCTAGAGAATGTCTCTTTGAAATGACTCCTGTAAAGATAAGGGTCACAAAATGAGGTCTCACTGCCAATGTAGAGGATTGAAGGAGTGAGAGACTGAATTGCACGGGCTGTTATGATTCGAGAGGAAACTGTCACAGCACAGGAACTTGGATGTTGTAAGGTGGTAAGGGAGGCTGTTGGGGATCACTGAGGCCAAAGTGAGTTTGAGGATCAATGGGAATATTCACAGGACTGGGTTAGGGAGGATAATTTGGTCTGTGAATATTCCCAGTGATGGGAATGATATGTGGGCACCCTGCGAATTCCAAAAGTTGAGAGGTGATTGAGTGGGAAAGTGGAAGAGTTGTCTTCAAGTTAGGAACCAGGAAAATGGTAGCTGTCCCTGAAAGAGGGTGTAAGGTACCATAAAATGTACCCTCCTTTGAGATAGTAGTGTTGTGAGAGGAATGCCAATAAAGGTGAAAAGATGGAATAATGATTATTGAGAAGGAAACATTAAGGATACTCAGAATCTCTTCACAAGAGAAGGGTTTTGAAAGGCATAGTGTGAGAAGACTTGAGTGGGTGTGGACATGTGCAAGAGAATTTGGAAGTCAGTACAGGCAGTGGGAATTGGCTAGTCGTGCAGAAGAACTGAGAAATACATATGGCAGGGAGCAAGGAGAGAGTTTGAGAACACACCTGGAGAGATAAGCTAGAGGAAGCCCAGATAAGGTTGTATAACAAAAGTAAGCAGCGTGGTGGGCCTTCCAATTAGGAAGATTGTATGGAAATGATGTGCTAATTGAAAAAAACGCAGTCTGAGGTTTGCATGTATAATTTTTTTTTTTGGTTTATGTGGTTTGTAGGGAAAGAGTTTTGGCTGATTTTATGGATTTATATTTTTGGATATAAGCTGCTTTTTCAGTTCCTTATTATCCAAGGGAATGAGTGGGGGATCTTGCTGCAAAAATCCTGAAATAGGTTGGTAAGCAGAGAAAAATTAACAAAAGTAATGAATAAAAAATAGCAAAATCCTGATTTGGATTTGATGTCCTTAGGTATTTTTGTATGCATATGCAGAAACATATATGTATTTACTACATAATATGCATATGCATGATTTAAGATATGGAGAAAGGTATTTAAAGATACAGTGTATTTGGGATTTAGAAAATTATTATTATTATTATTATTTTTTTTTTTTTTGAGACAGAATCTTGCTCTATCACCCAGGCTGGAGTGCAGTGGCGTGATCTCGGCTCACTGCAAACTCCACCTCCTGGGTTCACACCATTCTCCTGCCTCAGCCTCCCAAGTAGCTGGGATTATAGGCACCCGCCACCGCGCCTGGCTAATTTTTTGTATTTTTAGTACAGACGGGGTTTCACCATGTTAGCCAGGATGGTCTTGATCTCCTGACCTCGTGATCCAGCCGCCTCGGCCTCACAAAGTGCTGGGATTACAGGCGTGAGCCACCGCGCCTGGCCAGGATTTAGAAAATTATTAAAGCAATAGAGTATCCTCTTTATTATTTACTCTAAAAATATAATTTCAAATGTACAAAAAATCATAGAAAACAATAAAATAGCCATTAATGTACCACCACCCTAATTTAATAGAAGTTAACAGTTTATATTTTTGTCTCATGTCATCTTATCCTTAAGGAATTTTTAAATTAACATTTAAACATGCATACATGTAGTACTAATCAGTGGAATGCTGGAACCAATGAGTGCCAGAAATTTGTTAAGTTTTCAGGAACTTTGATATCACACTGATAAACTGAAGTTGCTATAGTGGAGTATTTACACCCCAGAAATGGACAAATACTACAAAATGGCATTTTATGTTTCTTGTTGGAGAACTAACAGTTCCAAATTTTACCAATACATTGCTGGTTTTTCCTTGCCTAGTTTAACTGTCCCATCGTATCTTACTGAATGAATAAAATTCAGTTTATTTATTTGCTACTCAGAAATATTTGGATATTTTCCATATTTCACAATCACAGATAATTTAGAGTTCAACATCTTGTACGTATCTCCTTGATCCCACATACACTGGTGGTTCAAATGTGGAAACCTAGAAGTAGAATTGCCGGGTCCTGAGGTTTATGCATCCTCAACTTTACTAGATAGTAACAAATCATTTTCTAAAGTCACTCTAGCAGTTTACACTTCCAACAGGAATGTTATCATTTTTGTTTCCCATATATAGCCCTATGAAGTGATATTTCAAGTAATATGAAAGATACCAGGGGTAGTTAGAATTTCACCAACAAGAAATGAGGTTGTGGATCATGACCAATTCTTTCTCAGCGTTGTGGGTTTTCTTTGTCCTTTTTGCTGTCTTTGACATATAGAAGTTTTAAAATTTAGATTGACAATCTCATTTCATGGTTGTTAGACATACACTTTCTCTTTTTTATACCCTATTCACTTTTGATTGAGTTATCTTTTTTTCTAATTGCATATAGAAGATCTTTACGTATTCTGGCTATTTATTCCTTGATGGGTATTTCCTTGACAAATGACTTATCACTATTTGTGACTTGTTTTTTCCCCTTTATATATGATGTCTTTGAACATATAGAGGTTATAAATTTTTTATAGTTGAATTTTTTTCAGTCATTTCCTATTAGTTTATACTTATTACTCTTGTCTGGGATATGCTGATATCATAAATATGGCTTCCAGTATTTCATTTTGAAATTTGACAGGTATGCTTTCAAAGTTTAGGCTCTTTTGACTAATTCTCTAAAATGTATAAATTGGCTGTCATTAATGCCAAAGAGAGAGTTGTTTGCAAAGAGTACAGATTTTGGTTTGACTCTAAATTATTCATCATTAGTTTATTATCATTCTGTGGCCAGCACATGCTACACATTTGGAATACAGAGATGCACAGGCAATGCTCTTACTCTTCTGGTGGGGAAAAACATACTACAGCACAGGCAATACAGCATAAGGGCTAAAAGAAGCTTGTATATATTACTCTGAGAGCATGGGGGCAATGAATCATTTGCCTTGGACCCATTAACTCTCCTGTTAATTCATTTACTCTGGTGTAGTAGCAATTTATGGAGAACTGAGAATTACTACCATAGTGTCAGCCCTACACCTTTTAGAGCAGGGGTCCCCAACCCCCAGGCTGCAAACTGGTACTGGTCTGTGGCCTGTCAGGAACAGGGCCACACAGCAGGAGGTGAGCAGTGGGTGAGCAAGCATTGCCACCTGAGCTCTGCCTCCTATCAGATCAGCTGTGGCATTAGATTCTCATAGGAGCACGAACTCTACTGTGAACTGTGAATGCAAGGGATCTAGGCTGTGAGTGCCTGTGAGAATCTAATGCCTGATGATTTGAGGTGGAACAGTTTCATCCTGAAATCATCCCCTCATTGTTCCATAGAAAAATTGTCTTCCAGGAAACTGGTCTTTTGTGCCGAAAAGGTTGAGGACCACTGCTTTCGAGGATACCAGTATTTACTTACATTCTTTTCCTGATTGACAATGGAAAAAAATTGTGGCTCTTTTGCAACAAGAATAATTTATCACAGATATTGCTTGCTAAGATGCTTTATAGATTTATGAAAATAGTAAGAACCTGTTTTTAAAGATTGGTTTCTGTTTGCAGAGACGAAATGGAGAAGATATACCAGTAGCCCAGACTAAGAACATCAATCATAGAAGGTTTGCCGCTTCCTTCAGATTGCAAGAAGTGACAAAAACTGACCAGGATTTGTATCGCTGTGTAACTCAGTCAGAACGAGGTTCCGGTGTGTCCAATTTTGCTCAACTTATTGTGAGAGGTAAGGTGAAATTGTTTTCACTTCACGAAATTGCATGGCTTTATTAGAACAAAAGCAACTCTGTAGATATTTTGATTGATTTTTAAACCATAGTGTTTCTGATGTCAAGTCACTATAAAAAATATATCATCATACAATTTCTCAGAATGTGTGAAGGTGAAATTAAGACTGTAGTTTGTAAAGTTTTTGAAGTTTCTAGTAAGTGTTTGCCATTGAAAGAAATCTATTTTATAATGCTCTAAGTGGACTAAATATATCAAATACCTTATTCCACATTGTCATCACCTCGTTTGTATTTTAACTTTAGATCTAGTTCTTCCCGTTTAAAACAGTTCTGCGGATACTACTTTTCTTTGAAGCATTGTGGCAATGAAGTCAAGGTCCAAGTTTCTATTTCCATATAGTCCTACAAATTTTACTGGTATCAAAACCCAATAGTGAATTTTCACTGATGCATGTCTCTTATAGAATCTTAGAAAGTTAGAACTACCAAACAGTCCTCACTAATATTCTTGGATACTAAAGTTACTAGAAGAATGTCAGGGATTATGACATATCAGTACATATTTGTAGTGAATACTGGAAAAGTACAAGTGCAAAACACATATTACATTCATTTAAGATGTATAGAGTCCCTCTTATATTGTAAGCACTGTTCTAGGTTGTAGATATTGGAGATACGATTGTAAATGTAATACAATGTCCCTACCCACATGGAGCATCATATTGAATTATGTTAGGCAGACTATATAGACAGGTGTTAAAAATGTAGTATCAAGTCATGGTATGGGCTATGAAGGAAAAATAGACACAAAACGATGGAAATTGATATTTTAGTTAAGGTGTTCTGGAACCAGTCTTAAGGTTACCACTCTGAGAAGGTAACAACTGAGCTGAAAGCTTAAAAATAAAAATAGAGACTTCAGCCATATGAAAATCTAGAGGTAAAGCAGCTCCGTTGAGTAGGATATCAAGCATCAATCAATATTGACACAAATGAAAATAATCGTAACCTGTTTAAGTCTCTTCGAGGAGAAGTGTGAGAGACTTTAGCAAAAATATCTAAACTGGGGCTGAGACTGTAAAACTATCATGGAAGGCATTTGCAAGTGAGTTTTCTTTGAGTAAGGATCTGAAGGTTGAGAGAAAGTTGCCCAAGTAGGGGTATGGATGTAGAGTCAGGGGCAAGAGAAAGAAACACCAGCAAGCAGAGAACACAGCACATGCCGAGGCCTACGGGCTGGAAGGAGAATATGAGATATGTCCATATTTTATAATGCTTGGCATCAAATATCTTTTACATATATTATTCAATATTGTCTTGTTTTTAATACTTTAACCTTTGATATTTTTAACGAAAAGAAATTTGAAATTCACACTTTATGATAATTTACCCAGAGCAAATTAAATCTAATGATTGACAGCCAGAATAGAACCCATTGTTTCTTGATTCTTAATGGTGAGCTCATTCTTTTCCACTACAGTTTTCCCTCGCATTACCATTATTGGATGATGCGATCAACCTCTTGTAAACTTTAGTCTTGGAAGACTCTATCACTCATTTTTTAAAAAAACTTTATAGATTAAATACGACTATTTTCAGTGTAACTTGTCTGATGTCTCCGTATTCAGCTCATATCACCTGCACAAGTTCATGAGATCCCAGTTTCAATTAAGAAAATATGATAGTATTTGACTTCCGTATTTAGGCAGAGAAACAATTTATCACATGTTCACACATGCATCTTTGTTAAGTCCCATTCCAGCATCTCTCTCACCTGAGCCTAATTTTGAAAGCCTGAAGGTGTCCTTGGGTAATCTTCAGGGTGATTAATATGCTATGGCTACAGGAACGTGGGCGTGCTATTGAATTATCATGCTCACTGGATCTTCTTTACCATATATGCGTTCACAATTTGCAACCAGTGAAGGAGATGGTATCTTAATAGTGTACCTAGAATGCTTTTGAATAACAGTGATGTATAATACATAGTTATATATGTTCTATATAGTTATCTATACATTTTTTTCCAGAAAAGTCACTCTTGATGTATTTCTCAAAAGATTGTAGAAGACCTGTTTATGCTTTTATCCAGGTGCTCCCTTTATATGTATAGTTTCTTCTTTCATGCGAACATTTTCTGCCTGTTTATTTTAAAAGAGAATCATTTTGTCATTACTGGATCTCTTTTGTTTATCTTAATTGATAAGTAGATTTTATTATTTTATCAAAGCCTGGTTTTCCTTACCTGGAGACAACTACATTACAATGCTCTTCCAGCAGTATTACTTGTTAAATTAATAATTATTTCAATAAAATTTATAAGAAAGAGGATCCTTAAATTTCATTGAAAATTTTGACCTTTTTTTTTTTTTTTTATTTTTCTGAGACAGAATCTCGCTCTGTCACCCAGGTTGGAATGCAGTGGCAGGATCTCGGCTTACTGCCCCCTCTGCCTCCTGGGTTCAAGTGATTCTCGTGCCTCAACCTCCCAAGTAGCTGAGACTACAGATGTGTGCCACCGCACCCAGCTAATTTTTGTATTTTTAATAGAGAGGGGGTTTCTCCATGTTGGCCAGACTGGTCTTGAACTCCTGACCTTGTGATCCATCCGTCTCAGCCTCCCAAAGTGCTGGGATTACAGGCATGAGCCACCACTCCCGGCCTTATTTTTCCTTTTTTTAAAGAAAGTCCTGCCATAAGTTTTGTGATTTTTATGTTGGAAAGGTTGAGTTGAAAGATGATGGCATTTTGAATTTGTTATCCAGAATCTGCTATCATTTTAGAAATATATTTTGATAGTTTTGACAATTTTATTTTTCTTTCAACACACTTTAGGTTGTTCTATATTTAATACGTACAGGTGATACTTTGCTTGCTGTTTTATTTGAAAACCAATACAGAGGAATAAGTTTTCTTGTTTGTAGAGATAACCACCAAATAAATATTACTAACCAAAAACATACTCTCGGGGGTCAGCTGTCTTGGTGTTGAAACAGTGCTGAGAATTAACTGTGCTGACAGGTCCTATCTCTCATTGGCACTTTTAAAGCTGACATCCTGTTACATGGATACAAAAGATGGTAATTTTAAAGGAAATTTTGGGGGCAGTGATATGAATAGTCTTTAATAAGAGCTGGCATGGTATTGCCTGTTGTCAAAGATGACCCAAGGGTAAGAGTTTATTAGTGCATTTTCTCCTAAACTGAAAGTGACAGGGCATGCTTAAGGCTTTTTTGTTGCTGTTTGTTACAAATGAAAATTTCATTGCAGAATTTTCATGCTGAAGAGTATTGATCTATGTTTTCCCACAGCCAGAAGAATAAAAAAAAGTATGGAGAAACAGAAATTACTTTGCTATGACTTTAGCATTGCTTCCTGATCATTTTGAATAACGATAATGTATTCAGCTTATGGAGGCCAATCTCTATTGACAAAGAAGTTTTTATAGAGATGAGATGCAGAGCAGATATTTTTGCTCAGTGTTTTACAAAATTGAAGTGTAAAAAATTTGAAATACAAGTCGAAGTAGTATTTATAAGCTTCAAACTGAATGCACCAAGCTTCAAACTGAAAGCACCAACTTTGTAATCTAATTATGCTACAGATTATTTTGCCAATCCTCACCTCAGCTGTGATCTCCTCCGTCTGTTTCCATCTGTCTAAACCGAAGACCCACTTACATCTCGAACCAGCTGACCTAAGTAAAACTTCTATAAAATTCTCTGATTCCTACACCTCACACTCAATTTCTATTGCAAATTGTTATAGTTTTATATCTATCATTTTTACCTGTGAAACTACAGTTACATTTTAAGTACTTCAGTTTGAAAGCACAGTTTTTGGTTTGTCATTGTTAATGGCTTGAGTTTTAAATTTTAGTGTCAATTACTAGTCATTATCAAAATGCTCTGGACACAGAAGTATTTAGTTAATATTTTAGTCTGTTCCTAATGAATAATAGTGACCTCTAGCTATAAATGGGGGTTAGTATCAATCACTTTACCTAACCTTACTCAGGGTAGTTACCCAACCTTATTCAGAGTTGGTGTTTAACATCATAAGAAATTCAAACAGATGTCATTCCGTTGTAAGACAATATAAACTAGCTTATACATAAGAATATTTACTAATTTTTGTGACTGGGTAGTACAGGATAGGCTTCAGGATTTGTTGATCAAGTCATTAAAGATCCACGTTCTTTCCAATTCTTCACTTTGTAGTCTATGATTTTGGCTTCTATCCTAAGCCAGGCCTACCACCTAGTCTTAGGAGAGAAATATGACTACATGCTTCCTTGGTCTTATCCAGTTAGGGATAAAGAGGGCAGTACCTACCACAACTATCAAAATAATAATAATAATAATAATAATAATGCATCACTGGTTATTGGATAAACAGCTAGTATGTCCAGTAGAGAGCTTTTGTACACAGGACTCCAGAGCGTAAACAGTGTTACTCAGAATTAGTTGTTTATTTTATTCAGATAAGATAGTAACTGAGGAAATAATGTCAAGAGAAGGTACAACTTAATCCTGAAGGACATACAGAGTTTGGAATATGGTACTATTGGAGAAGGGTGTTACCATACTAAGTCAAGTAACAGTATGAATCATAGGTAATCAGTAGGATCGTAGCTTATTTGGTCAATGGTGAACTGTTCATGGAATCACTTGCTTTATGTCAGTTATTTACTATGCATATGAAGAAGGAAAGCATTCAAAACCTATTAGAACTTTTCAGATTCTGCTTTTACTGTAATTGTAGTTTATGTCCTATCAGAGCCTGTCTTGTTCATCTTTGTTTGCTTCAGCACCTAGCACAATATTTACATGAAGAAATTCAGTACTTTTCTCAAAATCAACAAATAAAATTGTTTAGTTGAAATCAGAGGAGTGGGACTGACCCTGGCATATGTAGGGGATGAGCAATGAACCACATATTTCTTCTCACCTACAGATGGAGTCAAGTTTGCTGGCATAAAGGAAGTGATGATGACAATTGTGGTGTCTACACCAGACTCTTTCCTTTGTCAAGTGGGTTATTAAGGGTGACTTTTCAGTTTGGTGTAAATATTTTTCATTTGAAAAATAATATTGATTTGACCAGTATTCTATTCCGGTACTCTAATCTTTTTGTACATAAAATTAAATCTGAATTTTTTTGGTGTTTTTATATAAGAAGCAAGGTTTTGCTAGTTGGTGGCTAAGGGCCATGGAATTTCTAGCTTGAGACCTTTAGCAAGCTGTTTAATACCATGCAGTATTGATTTTTAACTAGTTTCCCTAGCACAGCTTTTAGGCTCATGAATTCATATAAAGATCCTTTTTCTTAATGGTGACTTGAGATCCCTTTTCTTCTATTGTGAAAACTGGTCATCTTGACAGGAAGTTTGGAATTATCTTGGAGAATGTAATTTAAACAGCTATGTTTTCTAAAAACTGAAATATAATGAACATTTCAGAACACACTGAATCACATACTAATTTTACCCCCCAAAACCCCTAAATATTTAAAAAAGCCCATGCAGCCAGTGGATACCAAATGTGTCAAATTTGGAGGAGTCTCCAAATCTCTCATATTTAAAAATTTTACTTTGCTCCCCTTGAGTATGATAAAAGAAACATTTGGAGTCTCCTCTCATTCATATTATCTACTTGTAATTCAGGTGATTCAGTGTTCAAGATGTCTGGTACATATTTAAATTCTAAATGAGCAAAAGAGTGCTAGATGTTCTTATTTCAGATAGTATATTTTGGTGCAACCAGAAACTAGACACTCATTTGAATTGTTCATATAGTCCATTAAACATACATTTTCAAAGCTGAAAAGTATTAAAAAAAAGATAGTATCTATGTTTATTTAAGAGTAGTAGAAAAATTATGGCTTTTAAATCTAATATGAATATTGACTGGGACTTCATATAATTACTGAAACTCTACTTGATCCACTTCTGTACACCATTATGCCAAATACTTTTTTCTATTAATTTTCTCCTTTTCTGAGTTTCCTTATAGCTACTCCATAAGGATAGTAAAGTGCAGCAGTTGTGTTTGTCAGATTGATTTTTTTCATTTTATTTATTTTCTTTCAGTTTGTTTTTAAAATAAAAATGCGATGAGAGTTCTTTCCCTAAAGGTTTCTCAGTTTATTTTCCTAGGCAATTTGTGTGTTGAGTGGGTAGGGTACTGGTCACTGCTCTTTGGAGTAAATATTGGGGGTTTGCTTTTGATGAAGCTTTCGTCTTAAGAATTTGAAAAGGATCAAAGAGGAAGCAGAATCATTTGCATCATTAATAATTATTTGTGCTGAACTCAAGGGAATTTTATTTCAGATTGTTGACAGTAGGCCTGTACACGTTTTCTAAGTTTCAATTCTCTTCTCTTGGAGTTTGTGATAAATGTAATTTGGACCCATTTCCGTCTACCAAGGGACTCCTATCTACTACATGGCCCGAGTGTCTTCGTAGTTTATATTCCCCTATCTGTTAATCATTTTTCTTTCTCTTACCCCAAACCAAAAATAAAGAAACAGTGTCCATTTGAACTAAGATTTTTTAGTCTTTCTGGGTTTATTTGCAACTTCATTGAAAAATCAGCTAGCAGCCTTTATTGAGTTCTTAATGAGGTAATAGGCAAGTGCATATTATGATGTTAAGTATTCAATAAAGACAAATGCCAAAAAAATCGCATACATAGTCTCAGTACTTAAGAATCTCATAATTTAATTCTATAGGAAATGTAGAATTATTGAGTATCATGACACAGAATTTTGACTTAGGTTTTGATTTTAAACTCTGTAAGAATAAAAAATGTTTCCTAACAAATAAAAAATAGTCTACCTATTTTCTAACTGCAATGAAATAGCAACTATTTCATTGAAACCCCTTATTAAGCACTAATTTGGCTTTAAAAAGTTACACTGGGAGAGTCTTATAGAATGTTAATTGAACAGAAGCTCTATAGTTGACAAATTGGAATCAATCAGTGAGGGCAGGGAGATAAATCAGAGTGTTTAGTGGTATAATGAGTAAGGATGGCAATAGAAGTGTTGTAGTGGGACATTACTTCATTAGTTTGAGTTCTTGAGTCTCTCCCACTCTCCCCTCCACTTCATCTTCAAGAGAGTCATTAATAGCAGGGTTCTCTACCACTATATGACTTACAGGTGAGTTTTTGTGTTTAGTCTTGCAGTTAGCATAAATTATTTGCCACTTAAGCAGTACATCTTTTAAAAAGCTAGCTAATATACATTCTGCTGACCAGTAAAGCATGATCAGGAACCTGACTGTTACTAAGAATACAAACATGGAAATATATAGAAAACAAAAAAATGCATAAAATGTTATGTAGAAGCCTTACAAATAAAGCAAATAATAATATGTAATTATTTATTAATGTGTCGATCAAAACCGGCTTGTTCAAAGTTTATGATAGTACCACAGAAATTGCTTGCTTTCCCATCTGGGTTAAGATAAATGATGTTTTCCCTCTTTCTAGGAAATAATATAATCTGACAAGAATTAAAACCAAGTATAAGGTCAACACAAATGAATACAGATAAATAATACTTTGTCACTCCTCAGCATAGATTGTGTTTAGTTCATGATTATTAATTTTTAGAAAAAAAGGGAAATATTGTAACATTTCAGTATTAAAAGTGAGAATTTGGGGACGGAGAGCTGGACAGAAATTAAATAATATGGCAGAAAATATGGCGGCTTTCCTCAAATATAAATATACAACAGTCTCTTCTTGTACAGGCTTTACTTTAGCTCTGATACTTGTTTTTAGAGAAATTATGGCCTATAGATGTGTTCTCATCTCTTACAAGGTATATAAATACAGTGACTTTTACACTTTAGGATATAATTTATCCTTGTTATAGGCACATAACTTTCTTTTGCTCTCCAGTTTCTGTTTTCTGAGCCCTAAACTGAGAAAATATTTTGTTGTTTTTCTTTATTGTTGCTTGATTTGGAGTCATAGATTTAGCTATGATGACACAGAATCTGTCCTTGTATTAAACAACAAAACAGCAAGTAGGTAATTACTTGTACCTTCGTTAGGAAGAAATTTTACCCACCTGGTTATTTACGTATTGCTGATTGCCCCTGGATTTTCATTAGTCTTTTTTATACATATGGAGATACCATGGCTACTCTCATGTTGCCATGCTACCTCCTCCAGCAGCTTCCCTTCACATTAAGGGGGAAAAAAAATCACAGTCCTTTCCTGTTCTAAGTGACCTTAAATGAAATATCCCCTGACTGCCACTCCAAATTTGTTCTTTATCACTCACCTCCTTCCTTGATCCACAGCAGGCAAAGCCAGCTCTTCCGAGTATACTTCTGTCTCTGGGCATTAGACTTCCTGCTCTTTCCACCCTCGCGTATTTTTTCTTGAATAGATGCACGCTTTTACATTCTTATTCCTTTCAGCTTTCTTCTTATTCCCCACCCCCCCTCCCCAAAAATACCTAAAGGCCAAATGGCAATTATTTTCTAGTACAGAAGAGAATTCATTGATTTTGTTTTACTGTTTTTTTTTTTTCCTCCGGAGTTATTTAGGTCAAAGTTTTTGAAAGATCTTTATGTAATGCCTACTATCAGTAAGTATATGCATAACAAGAGAATGGTCTCAAAGATTTTTGTGCTGTTGGAAATGCAGTGAATAGAAATCTGTATGTCTGAAATTTGTTTGTAATATGTATATAAATAGATTCCGTTATTCATATTTTATTGCATAGCCTTTGAATGCCCCACACTTTTCTTTATTCTCACTGCCACCACTTGTCTCTGTCACCATCTTCTCTTTCGTGTACTTCTATAAAAAACCTACTTATTGATCTCCCTCCATGAACGCTTACCTTCTCCAAGGCAGTCTTCACACAGAAGCCAGAGTGACTGTATGACACAGTAAGTCAGAATATGCTCCCCCTGGCACTGGCAGCTTCCTGTTCTTGCGGTATAAATTCCAGCTGCCTCATCACAGCTCCAAGGCCCTGCTTGCTCCTAGGCTTTTAGCTGGGCTCACCCCCTTCAGTCCTTCATAAGACTCTCCTTTGCTCACTAAACTCTAGCAACACTGGTTTTCTTTCACTTGCTTTAACATACCATGATCTCTCATGCCTTAGGGTCTTGGCTTTTTCTAATCACCCTGCTCCTTCAAAATATAACTGCATTCATAACATCTGTCTCCTCCATGAGACTGATGTACTTAGGGACCCCTTTCCTTTTGCTCACTCATGATTGGATCTCTGTAGCCAATACCATGATCAAAGTCTAGCAGGTCTCATCAAATATTGTCAAAAAAACAAAAATAGTGAGGTATAAAGTGCCATATGAATGACATGAATTTAATGTGTAGAATGAGGAGGGCAGCCTCGTGGCTGCCTTTTAATGGTCAGGGGATGTGCTGAGGAGGATGGGAAGTTCCATCGGACTCTTGATGGGTGGGTAGCATTTGGATAGTGGAAGATAAGTAAAGGGCATTCTGGGTAGAGGGACTGGCACTGGAAAACATGTTCTTGTGAACTAGCAGTAAATATTGACTGTAACACAGTGTTTTCCACTGAAAACATCTGAGATGATCCTGAAATTGTACTTTGAGGCCTTACTGTGGAACAATTTGAGTGCCAGACTAAGAAATATAAATGCATTGTGTTATTTAATTTGGGAACCTTTAGGAGTTTTGAAGTAGGTTACTTACATATTATCTGTCTCAGAAAACCAGGATACCAGATGATGTGGAAAATGGCGCGTTTTTAGGGAGTAAGTTAAGGGGGCTCTTACAATTTTAAAAACTTGAGATGATAAGTGATAAGTGTTCCTGGGGGGGGTGGTTATGGTAGAAAGAATGAGTCAAGGATGAGAGATTAGGCAGCAATGTTGTTAAAGCATTGTGTAATGACAGTAGGAGGAGAAGTCAAAGGAGACTTCTAGATTTTTGTTTGGGATATTGGATAAAATGTGGTATTATGGTCAGAGATTTGGAAGCCTTGTAGAAGAACTCATTTGAGAGCATAGATGTTAAGTTTAATTGTAAACTTTCGATTGGGGTGCTAGGAACATATCCAGTTTTAAAATCTTTAGGAATGTGGGTAAGCCTTAAACTAATCATAGGGCATTAAGTAAAGACTCAATACAGGATGAATTGAACAATAGGTGCTTAGTGCATAGAAATTATTTGTATTTCCTAAGTTTCCATTTCATAGCCTTTAGCCTATATTATTGGAATTTTTCATGTTGTTTAACTGTGGATGAAAGCACAGTTTTTTAACTAAATGGAAAATTTAGAAAGAGAAACCAGGCAGTTAAATATGATGTCTTTTTTATTGCTGACATTATCTGCATATAAAAACACATGTAAGATATATCATGTGGAAAGATATCCCCCACTGCTTCATGTAGATTCCTGACTGTATTTTGGTTGTCGGTTAAGTGGAAATCTTTTTCCTCTTCTTTGTAAAACTTTTTACTTCATAGAAATAAAGCAAACTCTCTACAGGCTTCTCTACTTTCTCTTCAGAATTTTATTGCTCCTGATAATAATGCTCCTGGACCTTTTTCCTACATCAATGTTTTAAAGGGTTGGGAGAGGGAATTTTTTTTTTTTTTTTTTGAGGGTGTAGGACTTTTGGCTAACAGCATTTCTCATTCTCAAAGAATGTCATTCACTGTAGTGGGTGGTTTGAAAATATTTACTTAAGGGTAGATAAAGAGTTCCCACCTGACATAATCTTCCTGTGTTAAAATCCCCACTCAATTTGGCATTTCTGTGTACTGTGCAGGATTGCTAAAAAGCAGTTACCATGATCAGACTGGTTGATGCATGGTAAAGATGTAAAGCAGGGTGTTTGGAATTCAACATGGATGGTAGAAATGCGAGATGTCAGAGAAGCCATATATTAAAGAGAATTTGAATTGGAAACTGAATCCCAATCTGCCACCGAGAACATTTTGATCATTTTGATTTATTAAACTTTTATAACAACATTCAGATGGAGCTGAATTAAAACCTTTAGTCTTGGATAGTTTATGGGACACCAACCACTGTGTTACCGGTATCATTTTGAAGGATCTCTTAGCGTCAGTGAAAAGGGGAAAAATGGGTGGGTAAGATACTTAATTTAAAGGAAGTTTTCACTTATATTCTTGCATCTAACTTTAAATCCCTCTTTTGTTTGCATTGTGTCACTTAAACATATTTTATAATTTCAACATATTAGATACCTTAAGGTTTTGAATTTTATTGTGAAACGTTTTTGAAATTCTGATTAATAATTTTCAGATTGAAACACTGCTTTTGTATATATGGTACAGGCTATCTTTTCTTTTTGTGTATATCTGTACACTCAGAGGCATCTGTATCTGTCTATGTTTGTGTTGCTGAGGTTTATAGATAAATATTCAAATAGAAATACTAATGCAATTTTGAAGCCTAACTTGCATGTAAATGAGTGCATTTTCCTAAAACTATTGAATTCTGTACGTCTGATTTTTTAAAAATCAACCATCAGCAATCATGGATAGTCTTTTCTGAACAGTAGCTCCATAATAAAGAGAAGTCAATCACTATTAGAGAAGCACTGTAGGTGAAAGGCACTATAGTTCACACTTGATTTTGTAGCGGGGAGAGGGTACTTAGCTGTGAATCAGGAATGATGCAAAAGATGGATGAGATAGAGTTCAAGGAGCAGTAATGTGAGAGTCCAGGACAATCATTTCAAGCTGTCTCAGCAGTAATGATGGATGGCTTGGTGGTAAGAAGTAATAATACCAGATGATGAAAGATGCATCTCAGCACCTTGAGCCCGAGCACACCATCT
Source organism: Homo sapiens (assembly GCF_000001405.40). NCBI lineage: Eukaryota > Metazoa > Chordata > Mammalia > Primates > Hominidae > Homo > Homo sapiens. The sequence continues at coordinate 556,425 of NT_187556.1, read as the reverse complement.
ACCTGTTGGGGTTCTGGGGCATAATGATTCCTGATTTGCAACCAAAGGGTTTTGCTGCACTTAGCAACCCAGATTTTTGGCAGCTGTGAAGGAAGCAAGTAGCATATCAAACACTCCTTCACATTGTAAATTTAATTACCTCATATTTATGCATAGTAGTTGTTGACAGGAACTTGTAAGCTATGCTAATATGGAAGGTAATTTGTTACCTCCAGAAATCACTTTCCATGTGTCTTCTGATCATTATCATGAAACATGATAAATGATCTAGCCCATGAGGTATAAATGAAAATGAAATAGATAATTGGATTCTATGTCTACATTGTGGCTGGAATAGTCACAGCAATTATAATTGAATTTATCTCATAAAAATGAGTTGGCAATACATCAGTGACCTTTCATCATTTTGTGCCTATGGTATTATATGAAGCTACTTTTGAGATGAACACAAAAAATGTATCATAATTCTTTTTAAAGAGTAATCTCTAACACTTAAATTTTCTATTTTCTTGCCTTATCTGCCTATATATTTTTAAGTATCTAGTTTATCTACAGCGAGTTTTAACAATTAATACTGATAATCCTTTTTTTATACTGAGAATAAAGTGTTTTGTTGTTACCAGTGCCTTGACTGAATGGCTTAGGAACAGTGTAAGACACTCTGATTTTTTTTTTTTTTTTTTTTAATGAACACCCTTTATTATTAGCAGCATGTATCTTTCTGCTGGGTGATGGAAGTGTGCCTTCTTGCTGAATCTGTGTGTTCTCTTTGATTCTTATAATATGTTTCTGATATACTAAAATAAAAGAGTTTGTTTTAAATATCACCAGACTTTTTTCTCTTTACCTTCTCTTTAAGTCACTTTAAATAATAATATTTTATTATTGACATAAAAACCCTATATATTCATTGATTTGATTAACATATTTGAGGATCACCATGTGTTAATTATTGGATTTATTGCTAATAAAATGACTAAGATGCATACTCTTTAGGGGGTTATAGTGCCATATGTAACTATGGTAATATCTAGTTTTCAAATTATAACATAATTTCTTTTTTCTCCACCAGCCTCTTTCCATGAGGGTCCAAGAAGCAAATAAAGCTTCTGTTTATGTTTTTGTATTTCTAACTAAGAAAGTCTATTCCAGATTCAGTTACTAACAACTATATGGAAAATAAGAAGTTATCTGGAAATGTGACTTATCTTTTGAATGAAATATGTCAATAAGCAGGGCATGTCCCTAGGGACATTTTCTCCCACTCTTATATTTTTTAACTTGAATTTTTTTTTTTTTTTTTTTTTTTTTTTTGGTCTGTGATGCAGATTCTCACTGTGTTGTCCAGGCTAGAGTTCAGTGGCACAATCTTGGCTCACTAGAACCTCTGCCTCCCAGGTTCGAGCAACTCTCCTGCCTCCACCTCTCAAGTAACTGGGATTACAGGTGCCCCCCACCACTCCCAATTTTTGTGTATTTTTAATAGAGATGGGGTTTCGCCATATTGGCCATGTTTGGTCTCAAACTCCTGACCTGGACCTCAAACACCATCCTAAGATGGTGATCCACCCATCTTAGCCTCCCAAAATGCTGGGATTATAGGCGTGAGCCACCACGCCTGGCCTTTTCTTGAAATTTCTTCACTTTCTTTCCTTTTGTTTTTCTTCAACTTTTAAGTTCAGGGGTACATGTGCAGGATGTGCAGGTTTGTTACATACATAAATGTGTCCCATGGTGGTTTGCTGCACAGATTGTCCCATCACCTAGGTATTAAGCTCAGAATCCATTAGCCGCTCTTCCTGATGCTCTCCCTCCCCCGCATACTTCCATCCAACAGGCCCCAGTGTGTGTTGTTCCCCTCCATGTATCCATGTGTTCTCATTATTCAGCTATCACTTATAAGTGCGGAATGTGGTGTTTGGTTTTCTGTTCTTGCATTAGTTTGCTGAGGATAATAGCTTCCAAGTCTCTCCATGTCCCTGCAAAGGACATGGTCCAATTCCTTTGTATGGTTGCATGGTATTTCATGGTATACATGTACCACATTTTCTTTATCCAGTGGGTCATTTATGGGCATCTAGGTTGATTGCATGTCTTTGCTATTGCGAATAGTGCTGCAATGAACACACACATGCATGTATCTTTATAAAAGAATGATTCCATTCTTTTGGGTATATACCCAGTAGAGGGATTTCTGGGTCAAATGGTATTTCTGCCTCTAGGTCTCTGAGGAATTGCCACACTGTCTTCCGCAAGGGTTGAGCTAATTTACATTCCAACAGTTTATAAGCATTCCTTTTTCTCCACACCCTTGCCAGCATCTGTTGTTTTTGACTCTTCGATAATCACCATTCTGACTGATATGAGATGGTATCTCTTTGTGGTTTTGATTTGCATTACTCTAATGATCAGTGATGTTGATCTTTTTTTTTTTTCATGTTTGTTGGCTGCCTATATGTCTTCTTTTGAGAAATGTCTGTTCATGTCCTTTGCCTACTTTTTAATGGAGTTGTTTTCTTCTTGTAAATTCGCTTAAGTTCCTTATAAACTCTGGATATTAGACTTTTGTCAGATGGATAGATTGCAAAAATTTTCTCCCATTTTGTAGGTTGTTTGTTCACTCTGATGTTAATTTCTTTTGCTGTGCAGAAGTTCTTTCGTTAGATCCCATTTGTCAATTTTTGCTTTTGTTGAGATTTCTTTTGGTGTCTTCATCATGAAATCTTTATCCATGCCTATGTCCTGAATGGTATTGCCTAGATTTCCTTCTAGGCTTTTTATAGTTTTGAGTTTTACATTTAAGTCTTTAATCATCTTGGGTTAATTTTTGTATATGTTTTAAGGAAGGGGTCCAGTTTCAATTTTCTGCATTTGGCTAGCCAGTTCTCCCAGCACCATTTATTAAATAGGGAATCCTCTCCCCATTGCTTGTTTTTTCAGGTTTGTCAAAGATCAGATGGTTGTAGGTGGATAGTCTTATTTTTGAATTCTCTATTCTGTTCCACTGGTCTATGTGTTTGTTCTTGTATCAATACTATGCTGTTTTGGTTACTGTAGCCTTATACTGTAGCTAGAAGTTGGGTAGTATGATGCCTCCAGCTTTGTTCATTTTGCTTTGGATTGTCTTGGCTATTTAGGATCTTTTTTGGTTCCATATGAATTTTAAAATAGTTTTTTTCTAATTTTATGAGGAACATCAATAGTAGTCTAATGGGAATGCTATTGAATCTATAAATTACTTTAGGCAGTATGGCCATTTTCATGACATTGATTCTTCCTGTCCATGAGCATGGAATGTTTCCCATTTGTTTGTGTCCTCTCTGATTTCTTGGAGGAGTGGTTTGTAGTTTTCCTTGAAGAGGTCTTCCACTTCCCTTGTTAGCTGTATTTCTAGGCATTTTATTCTCTTTGTAGCAATTGTGAATGGGAGTTTACTCAGAATTTGGCTCTGTGCTTGCCTCTTGTTGGGGTATAGGACTGCTAGCAATTTTTTCACATTGATTATCCTGAGACTTTGCTGAAGTTGCTTATCAGCTTAAGAAGCTTTTAGGCTGAGGTGATGGGGTTTTCTAGGTATAGGATCATGTCATCTGCAAATAAAGATAATTCAACTTCCTCTCTTCCTATTCAAATACTCTTTATTTCTTTGTCTTGCCTGATTGCCCTGGCCAGAACTTTCAATACTATGTTGAATAGGAGTGGTGAGAGATGACGTCCTTGTCTTGTACTGGTTTTCAAGGGGAATGCTTCCAGCTTTTGCCCAATCAGCATGATATTGCCGATTTTGCCTGTGGGTTTGTCATATATGGCTGTTACTGTTTTGAAGTCTTTTCCATTGGTTTATTGAGAGTTTTTAACCTGAAGAGATATTGAATTCCATTGAAGTCCTTTTCTGCATCTATTGCGATAATCATGTGTTTTTGTTTTTGTTTTTGTTTTTTTGTCTTTAGTTCTGTTTATGTGATGAATCACATTTATTTATTTGTGTATGTTGAACCAACCTTGCATCCCGGGGAAGAAGCCAACTTGATCATGGTGGATAAGCTTTTTGATATGCTGCTGGATTCGGTTTAACAGTATTTTGTTGAGGATTTTTACATAGATGTTCATTAAGGATGTTGGCCTGAAGTTTTCTTTTGTCTGTTGTATCTCTGTCAAGTTTTGGTATTTAGGATGATGCTGGCCTTATAGAAAGAGGTAGGGAAGAATCCCGCCTTCTTAATTTTTTGGATTAGTTTCCGTAGAAATGGTACCAGCTCTTCTTTGTACCTCTGGTAGAATTCAGCTGTCAATCCATCTGATCCTGGGCTTTATTTTGGTTTGTAGGCTATTTATTAGTGCCTCAATTTCAGAATTTGTCATTGGTCTATCCAGGGATTCTATTTCAAATTCAAATTGAGTTGACTGAACCACAGAGATGGCAACCACCCCTTCCCTGGGGAACTCCGTCCTTCTTAGGTGGACGGAGCCTGTCAGCCTGTCAGCACTGTCTGGCTGGAATTCCAAGCCAGTTGGTCTTAACTTGTGAAGTGCCCTCGAAGTGGGGCCTGCAGAACAACACTGCTTGGCTCCCTGTATTCAGCCCCGCTCCTAGGAGTATGTAGTGACCCTCCCTGGGAATCCCGGGTCCAGAGTATACAAAACTCCTGAGTGTCTGTGTGTACTTAAGTGGTTGCTCTGCTGGGACATCACACAGCTCTGTGTATTGGACCCAAGGCCCTAGTAGCCTGAACTTACAAGGGGATCTCCTGATCTGCAGGTTGCAAATATTTACGGGAGAAGCGTGGTTTCCCCGGGGCAGGGTTACATAATTCCTCACCGCTTCCCCTGGCTGGGAGTGGGGCTTCCTTTGGCTTCATGTCTCCCCGAAGTGGGCCATCGCCCCACCCTGCTTTTCTTCATTTTCCGTGGGTTGAGCTGTTTGCCTAGTCAGTCCCAGTGTGAGAACCTGGATATTTCAGTGGAAGATGCTGAATTCACTCTCTGCCTTCGTTCCTCTCCTTAAGTGCCACAGATGGCATCTGCTTTTATTCGTCCATTTTCCAGGGCCTATATATCAATTTCTTCACTTTCCATACTCATTGGTAGTGATACTCCAACTAATAAGATTATTGTTAATTTTATTAATACTAGTCTTGCTACTTGAAGCAAGTTTTACATAAATATGAATAAGAAACAGATTTGTGAGATTTACCCCTTAAATTTCAATGATTCTTACTACTGTGTTACTGGGGTCATTATCTTGTCTCTAGAAACAATGCATTTCCTTTAAGTTGCTTGACTGCTATTTTTAACTGATTCCTGCCCTAACAAGTAGCATGATAGTTATTACCTACCATTTTATTTAATATTTTTAATTTTTAAAATTTGATTTAGTAAAATATATATATTTTTTAATAGAGATGGGGTCTCACTATGTTTCCCAGGCTATTCTTGAAATCCTGGCTTCAAGCAGTCCTCCCATCTCAGCCTCCCAAAGTGCTGAGATTACACGCATGAGCCGTCACGCCTGGCCAAACCTATCATTTTATAGTAGATTCTCAATACAGGAACAGGAGACGTGTGTTCCTTTCTAAATCAAATGTAGTTTATATTTGAAACTATTTAGGACTACCACACATGTCCTTTTTTTAGATTCTGATGTACTACTGTAAACATACGCACACACTCATGCACACTCACATGTGCATGGATGTGCACTCAACCTTGATTTCAGCATGGCTTTGTTAGAATCTAGGCAGAGCCTGGCATAAGTGTGGTTTATTAAAAGTTAAGAAATTATTCTGCTATTGCTCTTGCATTTTTCTTCTCCTCTTCCCTGAACATTTTTCTTGGATTTTATGTCAAGAATTATGAATTGCCTTTGTAGCGCTAAGAAAATTTTGGAAGTGTTTTCAATGTCTTTAATAATATCATGAGATTCTTTGAGTTTCAGCACTTTCCTGTTTGTAGAAAAAATAAATTACATAGAATTTAATAGCCTATCCTCTTTTAAAGTCATAGTGCTTAGTAATCAAAGAAAGTCCATAAGCACCTATTTTTAATTAATATGAAAATTAAAAACACCTTCCAGGGTAGGCTCAGTAAGGTAGGATCTTTTAATGTCCCAATCATCTTTGATTAAGTCCAATGAAAATTTTGGACTCTCTGTCCCTTCCCTTCCCCTCCCTCCCTCCCTCCCTCCCTCCCTCCCTCCCTCCTTCCCTCCCTTCTTCCTCCTCACCCTCCCCCTCCTCCTCCCCCCCTCCTCCTCATCCTTCTTCTTCTTCTTCTTCTTCTCTCTCTCTTTCTGTCTTTTTTTCTTTTTCAGACCACTCCATTGACTTCTCATTTTCAGCTTGATAAAATAGCATTAGAAAACTTTTATTTATTTATTTTACTTTTGACAGGGTCTCTCTCTGTCACCTAGACTGGTTCACTACAGCCTCAGCCTCCCAGATACAAGCAATCTCACCTCAGCCTCCCAAGTAGCTAAGACGATAGCTGAGCACCACCACACTGGCTATTTTTAATTTTATCTTTATATTTCATAGAGTCAGGAGTCTTGCTGTGTTCCCCAGGCTGGTCTTGAATGCCTGGCCTTAAGTGATCCTCCTGCCTCAGACTCTCAAATTGCTATGATAATAGGTGTGAGCCCTCTGCCTGGCCTAGAAACCTTTAAATGTATGCTGTGGAGGAAGTTTACTCTAATTTGTATCTTAAGTAGGGATGTAATCTAAATGTCTCTTCATGATAAAAGTCAAATCATGAGCTAAATCCCCTTTTAAATGACTCATTTGCAGAGTAGCTCCATTTCTACATTTGCTTACCTTACCTAGAGAGATGTTATTAGATGAGTTCAGAATTTTTCTCTGAACTAACAGTGGCAATGCAGAGTACAAATAATATCAAGACATTAAAGACCTAACTTTGCATGATTCCAGTATAATGTTACATAAAAGAAATATATTCTCATAATAGAGAGATGCTCTGGGAAATGTATGAACCATCATATATAGATGAATTCAAATAAGTAATTCTGAAGAACTTGTAGTTAGAAAGCAGAAAAAAGTTTACTTGATGCCTTTATGTGGTATAATCACATCACAATATATGTAACATACAAAGATGGCTGTAGAACTCCACTGCTCCTTCTAACCTATACTTGATCCATCTCATAGGCAGAAGCATTTGAATGCCTAAACTTTTGCAGATGGCTATTCTTCATGTTTCTTTTGATTTCGGGGATTCTCTTGCTTTAGAAGTCAAAAGATCTGGTACATTGAAGCATTTAAGGAAAAACATAGACGCCCATGTTTGTGATTGATTTAGGAATTTTCAAGAGAAATTTTGAAGGAATTAGATTTTGCCATACATGCTGGCTTTAAATGTTAAATCTCAGGATGAGATTCCACTTCTACTTAGTGGCCCTTGCGGGGGTTGGCCCTTGTGGGAGTTGGTGGATTTTCTGGTTAAGAGTTTAGTTTGTTTCCTCCCTTTCCCTACCCTTTCCCTCCCTCCCTCCCTCCCTCCCTCCCTTCCTTCCTTGATATATTGTAGGCATATGGAAAAGTGTATATTAAACATATAGTTTGATAAATGTATATATAGCTTGTTGAATATTACCAGCACCCCAGAAGTGCTACCTCATTCCATTCTAGTTAATAACCTCTTCCCCCAGAGTAACCACTGTTCTTGGTTTATAACATTAATAAGTAACAGGTATATGGCATCTTACATATGAATAGTTTATACTCTTATCTGGTTTCTCTCATTCAGCATTAAGTTTGTGAAATCTGTATTGCTGCATGTAGCTATGCATCATAGAACATCATTGTTATGAAATCTTGTTGTGTGACTGTGCCACAATTTATTCATTTTTCTGATGATAGACATTTGGTTCTTTTTCACCTTGAGCTATTTACAATAGCAGTATTTGAATATACTACTATATGACTTTTCAGGAACAGATGGGATCATTTTGGGGTAGCACGTACCTGAAAGCGGAATTGCTAGGTCATAGGGTATGCTGATTTTCAGCTCAAGGAGGTACTGGCAAAAAATTTTCTTAATTTCTCATATAATTTATACTCCACCTTGCAAGCATAAAGTTTCACATCTTCACCAACAGTTGACATTATCTTGCTTTCCATTTCTAATTATCTTCTTATGTTAATACTTTTATTTGTTCATAAGTGCATTCATTCAACAAATATTGATTGCACTGAAGACATAAATGTAATTCAAAGGCAAACAATATACAGTCCTTGCCTTCAAGAAAGTCAGTAAGTGAAGAGAGAGGCAAAAAATATAGGTAAATCTCTTACCAGAAAAAGTGCGTTTATTTCAGGCTGAAGAGAGTGTAGTGAGAAAGGTTTTCAGAGGCAGTAATAACTGAACTGAAATTTGAAGATAGATAACTTTGCTAAGTGTATAAATGGCAAAAAGACACTCTAGGAAGTATAGGATAAAGGTGGAATGATTTTTATTATTATACTTTAAGTTCTGGGGTACTTGTGCAGAATGTGCAGTTTTGTTACATAGGTATACACATGCCATGGTGGTTTGCTGCACCCATCAACCCATCACCTACATTAGGTAATTCTCCTAATGCTATCCCTCCCCTAGCCCCCTACCCCCACAACAGGCCATGGTGTATAATGTTCCCCTCCCTGTGTCCATGTGTTCTCGTTGTTCAACTCAAGGTGGGATGATTTTAAGAGAAGAGTTTCCCATGGAAAACACAAGTTGTTAAATGTGAACATATAATTGGACTTGAAGAGTGATAACACATGAGGCTGGACAGATGAGCAGGGGACAGATCATGAAAGGGCAGTGCATTTATTTTAGGAAGTTTGCATCTTTCTCAGAAGTTTACTTTCAGCTGTCTTAATAAGACATAGAGTTCTATTTATCACCTGCTGCATCATAAAACTTAGTGGCATAAAACAATAACCATTTTATAGTGTTCACAGCTTCTGTGGGCTATAAATTTGGGTGATATGTATAGATCACTCCAGTATGATATTTGGGTCCCGAGCTGAGAGTCTCAAATTGAACAGCTAAAGGTGATTTAAACTCCTGGAGGCTAGAATCATCTGGCACAAGTCTGGCACTTGAATTGGGATAATGCCACTGGCTAATTGAAAATTGGAAATGGTGGCACCTAGAACAAGTGTTCTAGGTCTCATTACATCACTTTCTCTGCACTATACTTGTTGAGGCAGGCATGAGGTCTCTCTGGATTGAAGGGGATCCAGCCTCTCAATGCGAGTGCTATCAGAGAATTTGTAGCGCATTTTCAGACCATTGCAGTGACTAATGTTATTTTGTGCCTTTATTTCATGTTCTTTTTGTTGTCTACCGTAATAGTCACAAAAATCTATCTAGTATAGTTTGATTGTCCCCCCTCCCCAGCCATTCTGAGTGTAATTTGAATATCACCTAGGGGACACCTTGGTTTAGAGAGCACAGTCTTAACCATTGATCTCTTTTTCCTCACATAATTGACATTGGTTTTATAAAGAAGAAAATATACAATGAGTACATTTATATCTCTGTTTAACATAATTTGCATTTATATATTAAAATAAATTTTGAAAGTAGATTTCAAAATATCCAGGTACAAATTAGTGCCTTTATAGTTTAAGCAAATTATTATGCTGTATAGTAATGATACATCTAGTATACTTCTCTGATTAATTTCCAAGTTTAGTATCTTGACATTTGTTCAATGTCAGACTTTTAATTTAAAACCTGGACATAGACATTTAAAGATAGCTAATGCATGAGGGGCTTAAAACCCAGATGACAGGTTGATAGGTGCAGCAAACCACCGTGGCACATGTATACCTATGTAACAAACCTGCATGTTCTGCACATGTATCCTGAACTTAAAGTAAATTTTTTAAGCCAAAAAAAAAAAAAAGAAAAAAACAAAAGAGATTAAAAAATGTAATTGTATGGCGCTGGAGCAGGAATTGATACCCTTCAGTTACAATATGGAGATCTCTCAGCTATCAACTTATATTAGTGCATCATTTTACAAAATTTCATACCAAAGAAACATGGTACCTTCTTCTTTTTTCTATAATGTTTAAAATAGTAGCCTTCCTTTCTCAATTCTTTATTCGTCTTACATCCACTGATTGAGGTAATATTTTCAGGAATCTTCAATATCTATGAAAATATTAGTGCCATTTTATGTCTTATGGTTCTTTTCTCCAGCAAATTTTCAGCTGACCTGGCTGAGCGTGGAAAAGGATAGGGAATTTGAAATTTACAGAAAAGAGTATATGAATAGTCTGGATTGGTAGCCATTTTATGTCCTTATTTTTTAAAGGCATGGTATTTATCAAAGTAGACTAGGAAGCTCTCTTGTTACTTAGGAACAGTAGCTGTGAAAGAAGAACCCAACTCCTTAGCTGTGTAATTGCATTACTTGTGCTCTAGAAACTATTTTACTAGCCTGGAAATTTCTCTTGCTGTGCATGTTGGATTATAGAACTAGGACTCCCTTCCAGTATTTCATATTTTGGATGATATGACTTATTTTGATACTATGAATGTCAGATGCCCCATTAAGGTGTGAAAGTGAGTGTGTTCAAGGGGAGTTGAAATAAAAGGTCTTTTGCTGGCTTGGCTGTCACACTGGTATAAAATGTCTTTGAACAGGTAACTATTTTTACATGGTTAAGCATCTTAAAAATATTATTAACTTGTTATTTTATCAGATGGGTCTATAATTATTGCCAACCTTCAGCTTCCATCTATTTATAAAACTAGGTGTGGTGATTTTGATAGCACTTTGATTATTGAGGACAGGTATTTTGGCCCCTAAAGGAATGGTAATAGAATTAGATGATTAAAATATTTTTTCAGAAGTCCTTATAGTAACCATATTGATAGATCTGCTTTAATGCATTCTCTTTTTTCTTCCCCCATCATTAAGCCTACATATTCTCCAATTGCCCATGAAAACCTGCCTTTCTTAGTTGAAAGACTTATTAGAAGTACGTAATAACCTGTCCTCTGGTTCCCAGGTCATGTCTACCTGACTTTTTTATATCATTGCCATCAGGATAGCTTACCTAAAGTCAGTGACTCCATGTAGTGAACTCATTTCTCCTTAAAAGTTCTGTATCTCTTAATCCAATAAGACACATGATTGTTTTTTGTTTAATTCCAAAATTGAGGCTATTTTGGACAATTGCTAATTAATATCATTTGATGTCCCTGAATAAATATATATTGAGAATTTTTACGTTATAAAACTTAGTTGGATCTATATAAGCTAATGACAAATTTTCTTTGCTATGAAGATCTTTAAATAAGTCTCTGAAGATTTATGTTTTTTTGATCCAAAGAGAGGCTTATAACTATGACTGCTTTGGAGTTAGTAGTACATACATGAATCCTGTTATCTAGTGGAATTTTATATATGACTGAGGTCTTGTTCCATTAGTTTTACTATGTCATCACAATTCCTTTTTCGTAAAAAAGTAAATATATTAGTTGTACATACAGGGATATGCCTGGACAAGTCATCGTGACTCTGTACCCTACATAGACATGTAGAAATAATAGGTAGATAATAATTCCCCTGATTAACTTAGGGTAAATAAAGTTTTGCATTTTACCTGACTGGAAACCAGGGTCATTGAGTGGAGGATGCAAGTAGTGTCTCCTGATTTATTGCAGGTCTGAGTCATTACATTTTAAAATGGTCATCAGTTGTTGGTTTCATGTGCTTAATATTGACTTCGTTATTTGGTATTGACTTGAAATGATTACAAAGTATGTATTTATAATATGCTTGTACGTTGTATGTTACAAAGACTCATCACAATGGAGTGTTTAGACCTGGGGAGTAAGTTGGCAAACTTAGATTAGGTTTCGTTACAACTAAGTGTCACAAAAATCTTCTAATTACATAGGTTTCAAATTTCTTAAAATTTGGAATTTAGGCTGATGACATTTTACAAATGTATTTATATTCTAGATGTGGAAGATTCAGGATATTTTTAATAATTTTTTTAAACTATATATACATATCACATATATTTACATATGTGTATGTGTCTGCATATATGTATATTACACACACACATCTATAAATAGAGATTATATTCTCATTATAGAGATTTTGCAGTAGGTTTTTTTTAAAATTGATATCTTGTTTACTGGATTCAGCCATTGTGTCTTAATATGAAATGAATGTGGATAGTGTTATTGTACTCCAAGTCCTTTTGCCTATAATCTAGAATGGAATAATAGCCAGTGCTATATAATCTAGGCATATTCAACAAGTAACTGGGACATATATTGCCATTGACAAACACAGTTCCCTTCCTTTCTCCAACCATATATTTTTTAAAAAGTCTCCTAGCTCTTAAAGGTGACTGATGATGTGGTGAGGTGATCACCTGTTTATGGCCCTAGACTTCAGTGAACTGAACAGAGTTAAAGGCTTTCCTAGTTTTATTGCTGACTTGATTGTTATTCCTGGAATCAACTGGATGTTCTTTTCTTGAAATACTATGAACAGTTTGAGCTCTGACAAAGCTGAAATGAGGTATTAAATGACCATGAGAAAAATCTTCTGTATTTATTAGCTTATGAGTCATTCATAGGGATTCATAACTTTCATCATAACATGGTTTGCCACCATGTTGACTGTAGTACTGAGAGAGGCTTTTGTAAAGTTGTTAAAATTATTGCTATAATTGGCCGGGCGCGGTGGCTCACGCCTGTAATCCCAGCACTTTGGGAGGCTGAGGCGGGTGGATCACGAGGTCAGGAGATCGAGACCATCCTGGCTAACACGGTGAAACCCCGTCTGTACGAAAAATACAGAAAAATTAGCCTGGCATAGTGGCACGCACCTGTAATCCCAGCTACTCGGGAGGCTGAGGCAGGAGAATGGCATGAACCCAGGAGGTGGAGCTTGCAGTGAGCTGAGATCATGCCACTGCACGCTAGCCTGGGCAACAGAGCAAGACTCCGTTTCCTAATAATAATAATAATAATAATAATAATAATAATAATATATATATAAATATTATTGCGATTTATCATTCTAAACCAATTCACTACATGGATATTAATGAAGAGAGTAGTTTTGGACAAAATGAGACGCTACTTTTTAGTTTCCCTATAGTTTGATTATGAGCTAAAGGACACATAAACTTACTTTTTAAAATTCCATCACCTTTTCATCCACCCTAAATATGAACCTAACCTTGTTTTAGTTTCTGCTGACATCTAAAACAGTATGCTGCAGCTGTGCCTTTTTATTTCAAGCAGGTAATAAAGTTATTGCAGCAATGTTTTCAAATCAAGGTGAATAAAACGCCATGGTAATGCATAGGATATAAAATTCAGTATGCAAAATTTGCAGTTTCATTGCTGAAATGATTCTTCTTATTTCAGCACTTTAGGCAGCAGGAAAGAGCCATGTCATAGACATTAAATACTGTAATTCTACAGATCTTGCACTTCAAAAACTGAATACATATCACATGGGGACTTGAGAGACAAAATCATTGTTGAATATGAAGAGCAGCATATTTAGCATCAGAATTTTCTCCTACCCTGAATTAAATTTTTGTTCAAGGGACACACACACACACACACACACAAGTATTAGTACAATTATATACAATTTCTTATTGATCTTGTGTATTCGAATTAGTTTTAAAATATATAAATCGGTGTGTTTTCTTCACATGGAAAATACTTAAAACATTTTAATTGATGTGATTTGTAGAAAAGACAAAAAAAATTAATGCTAGAATTGTAGCTGTGCCTTTTTTTTTTTTTTTTTTTTTTTTCACAAGCTGGATAAATCATTTGATTCCACTTGGTCACTAAGCAGTTGCTTAGAATGTGTTCTTTTGTTCCAGTCAACTAACTCTTTTAATTAAAGAGTAACAATTTGTAGGTGCTATGTATCAGTGTCAGGGCATTTGGCTTGCTACATCGTTCAGAGTGTGAGATGTTACATCTTACTTTTTAAGGGCTTAATGTTAACACCTGAAAATTAAATAAGTAAATAAATAAAGTTTGGGTATTGTGTTCTCCAAGTGTCGATTCTTACATTGAAGTGTACATTTTAAAATGTGGACTAGGTAGAATTTACGTAGTTTTTTCCTTCCTTCCTTCCCTCCTTCCCTCCTTCCCCCTCTCCCTTTCTCCCTTCTTCTCTTCCTCCCTTCCTCCCTTCCTCCCTCTCCTCCCCTCCCCGCTTCCTCCATGCCCTCCCCTCCCCTCCCCTTCCCTTCCCTTCCCTTTTTCTGATATAGGGTCTCATTCTGTTGCCCACACTGGAGTGCAGTAGCGTGATCCTGGTTCACTACAGCTTCAACTTTCCCAGGCTCAGGTGATCTTCCCATCTCAGCCTCCCGAGTAGCTGGGACCACAGCTGCCACCACACCTGGCTAATTTCTGTATTTTTTGTGGAGATGGGGTTTCACCATGTTGCGCAGGCTGGTCTCAAACTCCTGGGCTCGAGCGATTTGCCTTCCTCAGCCTCCTAAAATGCTAGGATTACAGGCATGAGCCACTGCTCCCAGCTGATAAGTTTTTCTTACGGTGGCATGGGTAACTTTTTTTCTTTGGGGCATTGTTAAGGCAGTCATTCATTCTATAATAATAGTATTGAACTTTGTCAGGCGCTAAAAGAAACACTGGGAATGTAATGATGAGAATGTTTTGTGGGCACCTAACAAATTGTATTGAAAAACAAGGATAAAAGAAAAAGCTAAGTCACTCATGGTCCTGGAGTTCCCTGGTCACTGCTATTAACTTTTTGGTATGTTTTCTTTTGCTTTTGGTGGTTGCTGATTTTGTTTTTTCAGGGGTATGCTTTTTACTTTTGAAAGTGAAAACTAATAATCTTTATAACTTGTGTTCTGTTGAGAAGTTACACCATGATTTACCTCCCATTTTCCCATCACTGATTATTTTGATCAAGTTTTTACTTTACTTTTAAGCAAAGACTGAAAGTATCTCCTTATGATAAATTTCCCAAAGTGTTATTACTTTACACATATCTATTTCTTGATACATAAATTATTTTCCAAAAATACTGTTATCAGTTCACTTGCCTGTGAGCAATTCGTGTAGTCACATGCCCATTTCCCTGTGTTTCCCTGGCCACAGTCAAGCCAGTGTGAATAAATGATCACTGCCACAGCCACAGAGCTTGCACTCTCCTCCTCAAAATTCTGCTCCATTGCCCTTTTGAAAAATGGAAATATAAGTGATATAGTTTTAGGTAGGGATACGTGGTAAATTTATTATTTTCAGCATTGTTAAAATTATTTTCTACATTGTTGAGCTGTTCTAGAGGAACCTATTATTGTTTTGGACTAGAGATTTTTTTTTTCGCTTCAGATTTATTAAGTTATGATTAACAAATAAAATTGAATATATTTAAGTTGTACAATGTGGTCTTTTGGTATATGTATACAATTTGAAATAATTATCAAGCTAATTACCATATATTTATCATCTCACCATTTATTTGTGGTGAGAATATTTAATATCTACTCTCATAGAAATGTTGAAATATATAATAAATTATTATTAATTATACTTACCTATATTATAGTTATAGTAGACCTCCAAAACTTATTCATCTGAACAAATTCTGTACACTTTGAACATCTCTCCATTTCCCTACAAACTCCCCGCCCTGCCCCTGCCCTGCCCCGGTGCTCCTGGTAACCACCATTCTACTCTCTGCTTCTATGAGTTCAAGCTTTTTAGATTTCACATATAAGTGAGATCACGCAGTATTTGTCTTTCTGTGCCTGGCTTTTGAATAATTGCCCCCAGTAGGGAGCCACTGGGAGAGAATGAAGAAACTCTGTTTAGCTGAATATAATTAACAGTAATAAAAATATAGTATAAACAAACATATATAATATCCCATTAAATAGATACTTTATTATTTGTAATTCTTTTTTCCCCTTTTATCTAAAGTTTTCTACCTACTTACCACTGTGAAATCATGTGTGCTTATTTCATGGTTCTCAGAAGTTACTCGTGTGTGAAATATTGTAAGCATAGGCATGGGGGCACAGTACACACTCTTTCTTTAGTTCATCATAGCTATATGCAGACACCAATCGAATTTTCATAGAGATGGTAGTAGATAGTGGTAGCTCCTTCTGATTGATACCTACATAGGTACTGGCATAGGGGCCTCAGGTCCCAACATCCAAACTTTGTGATGTCTTAGCATTAACTTTATTTGACCAGTACAAGCTTATGAGCCACCTGAGTAATATGATTTGAAAAAGGTCTCCAGGCCAGGCCTGGTGGCTCACAACTGTAATCCCAGCACTTTGGGAGGCTGAGGTGGGCAGATCACCTGCGGTCTGGAGTTTCAGACCAGCCTGGCCAACATGGTAAAACCCCATCTCTACTAAAAATACAAAAATTAGCTGGGCGTGGTGGCAAGTATCTGTAATCCCAGCTACTTGGGAGGCAGAGGCAGGAGAATTGCTTGACCCTGGGAGGCCAAGGTTGTGGTGAGCCAAGATCACACCACTGCACTCCAGCCTGGATAACAGAGCGAGACTCTGTCAAAAAAAAAAAAAAAAAAAAAAAAAAAAGGTATCTATCACTTGAATTGATGGGTTTAAGAATAGATTTTAACATAATAAAACAAATTTAACTCAATTCTATCAGTGTACAAAGTAAATAAAACTTAATAGTAATTTAGATTAAAAAATTTATAGAATTTGCTGACTGCATTGTGAGCTAAAATATGAGCTAAATTTATGATGAGTTGTTTGGCTTCCCAAGGAACTTGTGAGAACTGAAAATTTGAAGTATCAGAAAAATAACAGTGTGAAATCATGAAAGAATTCTCATAAATATATCTGGGTTGCAGTTTTTAAACTGGCAGTGTAGGAGAAACCTTATTAAATCTAAAATTTTCAAATGTATACTTCTTATTTTAACATCTAAGGAAAAGTTAAATTGTGTTGTTATACATATGATATTAAATGTCCAAATAAATTGCTTCTAAATATGAATAACCTGCTTTCTGTTTGTTATGGGAGCAAAGGTCATCTTTCTATTCATCAGTAATATTAAGTTTCTTGAAATGCTCAAGAATTTATTAAATTATGTTACCAACTTGTTGACATAATTTAAAATCATTTAAAATTATTGTAGGGGTAGCTGATAAATGCCTGAATTAGATGGTCCAATGATGTCTTTCTTCTTCCTCTTAGCCTCCCTCATGTCCATTTACTTGCACTTCTAGTAGGTGATGGGGAAGAAAATTAAACAATGAGAAACACTGTGAATTTGTTGTCTAACAGGAACCAGAACTGGATAAAAATTTTAGTGAGGGAAATTATAAAGAAACAGAGTAAAACTGACTTCAAAGTGATTCTTTCATTTAAGTAAAGAAATGGTAACAAATAAAAAAAATTCCATCTGCAGGGCAAACATTCTAGTGTTGAATGTGTTAATAGAGCAGTGGACTCCTGTAAAACATGATTTTCATCATCTCTGTTTTTCCCTTTTACAAAAAATAGTAAAAAGAAAAATATGGGCCAGGTGTGGTGGCTCACACCTGTAATCCCAGCATTTTGGGAGGCCGAGGTGGGAGGATCACAAGGTCAGGAGTTTGAGACCAGCCTGGCCAATATAGCGAAACCCCGTCTCTACTAAAAAATACAAAAATTAGCCGGGTGTGGTGGCATGCACCTGTAGTCCCGGCTATTTGGGAGGCTGAGGCAGGAGAGTAGCTTGAACCCGGGAGGCAGAGGTTGCAGTGAGCCGAGACTGCTCCATTGCACTCCAGCCTGGGTAACAGATGAGACTCTGTCTCAAAAAAAAAAAAAAAAAAAAAAAGAAAAAGAGTAAAATATGATATATATATAAATTATTAACTCTTAAATAATCTGCTACTCTGGACCCAGCTCAGAAACTTTTGTAGGTGAAGTGTTTTCTGCTCACAAGCTTCCTACCAACTGGAGAAAAAGTGGAGTTGAAATATCTGGCAGGAGGAAGGATGAGATCATAGTCCATGTCTGTGGTAGGCTGAAAAATGCCCCCCAAATAGATTCTAATCCTTGGAACCTGTAATGTTCCTTATATGGAAAAATGATGTTTGCAGGTGTGATTAAGTTAAGGATGTTGAAATGGTGAGAAGATGCTGGATTATACATATGGGGCCTAACTGCAATCACAAGCATCCATATCCATATGGAAGGCAGAGGGAGATTTGACTACAGACAGGAGAGGAGAAGGCATTGTGAACAAATGAAAGGAATTTGGAGGGACAGGAATACCAGCACCACCAGAAGTTAGAAGACTCAATCAACTGATTTTCTCCTAGAGCCTTTATAGGAAGTACGGCCTTCTGACAGCTTGATTTTGACCGAGTGGTACTGATTTCAGATTTCTGGCTTCCAGGACTTGGAGAGAATCTCTGTTGTTTTAAGCCACCAAGTCTGTAGTAATTTGTTGCAGCAGCCATAGGAGAATAATGTAATATCATTGCCTCCTTCTGTAGTGGTAGGACTAATCTTACGATACTTTATGTCAAGGCCCCATTGACAAATAAAACCCTTAGGAAGGAGGTAGGATTGAGAGGTATTTAATTTATCTAATTGGGAAATTAAATGTAGAAGTATTTTTTGCCTTGACATTTACTTTGTTGCTGACTTTTCCTGGATTTATGGCTTCTATTTTTTATTCTGCATTTTATTAGTTAACTGAATTTTGCTAAGTGACACATGTGTTTGTAAAATAACATTATAATAGGAATAACTGAATGGGAGTATTTTTTCATAATGATTTGCTTGATTTCAAGACACTTTTAAAAATTATTTGAAATAAAAATAAAACAATTTGAATATATAATTCGGGTTTTATAATAGGTTCAGTTCTAGAATAATGAATGTAAGTCATTAATTGGAAGTTAATTGGTAACATCGGCAAAGTTTATCTTATATTTTGGGGATTGCATGCTTCATTTGATACCTCCTGTACAACTGGGATTTATTCGCACCTCACTTCTGGGTCTGGTTGTGTATTGTTATGAAGAATATTAATATTGCTGCAGAACGATTACTTGTTCATTTGTGAACTGATTAAAATTCATGCATAATTTATTGAAATGAATAGAAATTTTATAAATAAGCCCCATTGTTATCAAGGGCCTGAAAACAAAATACATATGCTAATATAAAGCTACTTTTTACCTCCAACATAAAAATTTAATATGTAGTGGTATATTAGCCTCATTAATGCTAGATTTTACATCTTAAAATCATGCTGTTAATCAATACATATGCTTTTAAGCCTCTCTTAACATTGCCACATTTCCAAATTTGAGCAATTGCTTTGATGCTGGACTGCCCCCATTTTTGGCCTGACCATGGAAAGTGAGATGTAAAACTGGCCAGAGTGAACTACTACCCTTCTGACCAAGTCTTGACTGATTACATCAAACTTATTTCTTCATATACAAACAACACTAGTGTTGAATATTAATTTTCAGTGTTAAAATGTATATGCTATATGGCAAAACAGAACAAAGCAACCTAGCATCACACAGGGCTTGTTGGTGTATGTAGGAGTTGAGTCTTCAAAAATTCTTCAAATAATGCCTAGTGCACGAATGAATAAATTATAATGTGAAAAAGTTAAATAACATATTTAAGATTACACAGCTATTAATGTGTAAGCATTTTTTTCATATTAGGTTTCCAGACTACAAATTTTTGTTTTCTTTTATATATCACTTCCTTAAAGATAGAAATGTTGGAATTAATGTTGTGCTTTACTGTTTCACTTATTTCTCTTCTTTCTTTCACTTGTTTCTTATGTTGCGGTATGGCTATTTTTTCTTTCCTTCCTCTCTCATCTTTTGCTCTCCTCTTAGGTTTTCTCCTTATTTTCCATAGCAAGAGTGTGCAGAGTTTTGATTGGTGAGATTTACCATTTGATATACTCACATAAGTTCAGGTTTCAGAATATCTATAAATTTATGATTAACCAAGGTTTGTTATATATAATTCACTTGGCATATTGTGACTGTTTATTCTATCCCTACACTGGGGTAGCACCCCAGCGAGATGTGAATTTAGCATTCTTTCCAACTTAAATTAGTTAGTATATGAGCCATCTGGAATGAAAACAAATATTGCACATATGAGGCAACTCAGTTTATTCACAAAATACAGACTGCTTCTTAAAATATGTGCAGCATTTAGGTAATCTCGGAAGACATTTACATTTTTTCTATTATGTTCACTTCTCGATTCAGTTTCATTTTAGTTTAGGGTTTGAGAATATATCAACTTTCTCCCTCTCTACAAAAACTTTTTAAAACTCTGAGTACAAAAGTTGTTAGAGCAGTTGGTAAAATTTCATGGTATGAAATGTCTAGCTCTGTCTTTCATAGTTGATAAGTGAAAATTCTAAACTGTGTTTATTTTATTCAAACTTTTTTCTTTTGTGAATAACTTCTCCGTTGAATTCAGTCGTGAAATTGGAAAGAGTTCACTTACTATGCAATTTTGACTACATATTGTTGAAACAATTTGCAAACTATCAGGAATGGATGTTGTAGTTAAAGTTTGTAAATCATATGTTAACCACTTTTCTATAGAAATTATAAATGTTTGCACTTCATATAGCATATGTTATCATCTTTGATCTTAGTTTTGTTTTTGTTTTAAACATGAGCCCAGTGAATCCCAAGGTCATGTGGTTCTACAAATAATTAGTTTAAAAGTTACTGCCATAATGAGCCATGAATACTTGTGAGGAGTTACTTATGTCCTTCAAGTGATTTTGGACAAAAAATATTGATATTACATTCATTATTTATCAGTCTTCTTTTTGTTTCCTATATAAATTTCAGTTTAAAATAATGAATTCATTGATTTCTTTTTACTATGTCTCCCCTACAATGTTATATGGATACCCAATGTGTAGGACAGCCTAACAATTAATAGCTACTCAATTAATATTTATCATATGAATTTTGAAAGAATCTTCTTGAAAATTACTTTAGCCTGTGTAGCTGTACAGACCAGATAATCTTATTCCTAATTTTAAGGTTATTTGTAATTCAGAGGCTTTTAAGCTAGAAACTATACTTTTATACAATCAGGGTTAAAAAGAAAATCCTGGTCTGCACCTGAACATTCTTGTTTCATTTAAACCTGCATAAGAAGGTAAAACCTGTCTACAGGCCTTATTTGCATTGTATATTTTTCATGCAATGCATTGCCATTGAAACAAAAAATCCAACTAGAAAGATATTGATTATGTGCTCATGACTTCCCTCTATTTGTACCTTCTTCAGTCCACCCCGTACCTGTAGTGGGTTGGACTGAGGGAGCATTTTGTGGTTGTGTTTTAATAGTTTATGTGATTTGCTCCAACTCTTAAAAAAAGTTTTAAATTAATTTTTGAGCAATTACTACTTTATTAACACTTTCTTTAGGTCTTTTGACTTTCCTGAGAAAAGTGAGAAGTGTTCCAGGAATTCAAAGAACTTTATGAGTTATTATCCCTTGTGGAAAGACCATATGAACAGAGCTATAGCTGTTGAGTCCTTCATAAAGTTCGGTGTCTCATTTCAGTCACATTGTTCTAATGAAAGAAAAAAAAAGTGCCTTAATATATCATTCAACTTTTCTGTAAGTACAAATGTTGAAATAATGTTTTCCAAAGTTTCTTTCAAGCAGAATATCTTAAGATATCCAAAATTAAATTATAGTGTGCCTTTGATATTTGAGTTTAATAGTTGGTGAATTGCCTTATCTTATGCTGCTCCCAAAGACCAGTGATGTTTAGTGATTTGTGATTGTGCCTAGGTGTAAATTTAAATTTGTCACACTGTGAGGCAGATTTGTAGAAACAAGTTAGCACCTGGCATCACTTTCTGAGTTCGGTTATGTTATTCTTTCTTCCTTTACTCATCTGTAGAAACTGTGAAGAAGTAACAAGGAAAGCAAAAAGAAAAATACCTCTTGGGCATAGTTTGTGAATGAAATAAATTGTCAAAGATCAACTCTACTCTCTTAGTAGCTAATTAGAGCTATCCATATCTAAATATTTTCTTTTTATTTCCTTTGTATACTGTGACTTTACAAGTTGATCTCCTGAAAAAAAATGTGTTTTTAATACAGGAAAATTATGTTAAAATAGTCATATGCACTTGCAAAATTATATGTTCTTTAAAAGTACAGTTGTCAGATCATGCGTCTTCTAGTTTTCTTTCAAGTATTTATTATGCATTTCTAATAAATGATCCATTAAGCATTTAGGCCTTATTAGACACTAATATATCTTTGTATTATTTTAAATCTTACTAATTGAAGTGCACACTCATCTCTCCTAGAACCGCCAAGACCCATTGCTCCTCCTCAGCTTCTTGGTGTTGGGCCTACATATTTGCTGATCCAACTAAATGCCAACTCGATCATTGGCGATGGTCCTATCATCCTGAAAGAAGTAGAGTACCGAATGACATCAGGATCCTGGACAGAAACCCATGCAGTCAATGCTCCAACTTACAAATTATGGCATTTAGATCCAGATACCGAATATGAGATCCGAGTTCTACTTACAAGACCTGGTGAAGGTGGAACGGGGCTCCCAGGACCTCCACTAATCACCAGAACAAAATGTGCAGGTAAGACTGAGTAGCAGACCTTTTCTACCTTGTGAAGGAATCTAGCATAAGACACATTAATACATGCAGTGTTGAAGGTTCTCATTATTTGATATATGATATAGTCACACTATTAAGAGTTCCAATGAATTACATAAATCATCACCTTGATTATGTCATAATTTGACTGATTTGAGGACATGGGAGTGCTTCTCTATTCTCAAGCCATTATTATTATGAATCTAGAGTCCTTTTTTGGCATGGTAGTTTTGGTGAGCCTGCTACATATTCAGTCCAAAAATCTCTGATAGCTGTAATTGAAAGCATTATTGAGAGAAAAGATCATTTTAGTTCAAGCAAATACCGAATACTTTTTTACTACGTGGAAATTCTCTCCCTCAGTAATTTTGTTACAGTCAGTGTAAAGGCCACATCTTATAATATGGATAAGAAAAGTTACTCTGGACAATGCCTCGTTGAGATAACTATTTTCTTCAGAATGTCCTGTTGTTGAGGATTACCTCAGGAGCTTGACACCCAGCTGCAGAACACAGAGAGATTTTCCTTACACTTTAAGCCTTTCTGTTGCCTTCCTCATGACTAAAACTGAGTAGTGAAAATAATAGTGTATGGAGAAAACACAAAAAAAATGAAAATTAAAAAATTGTATATAACCACACATCCTGGTTCTTTACCATGTTATAATGGGAGGAATTGTTAGCTATTAATTAAAAGCCAATAAAAAGTTTAAATATCTAATTTACTTGACTACATTTTTAGTGTAGTGTTTATTTTGTCTTTTGTTTCTTGAGCATCTGTTTATCATTGACAGTATTGTTGGGCTACCCACCAGGAGTACTGAGCTACCATCCAAGCAAAACCCATTCAGTTACCTGATGTATCGTAGAACATATTTTTTAGTCCAGCATCATATTTATATATCAAAAACTCCTGCTGAAAGATGTTTACTAATAGGAAATTTAACTTCTCAACTATTAGCCTGAGACTTAGATGATAGAGAGTCCAATAATTTGCTGATTGCTGTATATATTTATCTGGTTGTTGAAAAGGAGCTTAAGCTAGAAGATGTTGGGTAAATTTCCATGGCTCAGCCTAAATCTCACAATTTGCTTTTCAAATATTCTGTATGTCTATGTCCTTTCAATCGAGGTCATGTGACAAATTGTTTCTGTGATAGAAGATAAACTTTCTGAGGGAGAGGCAAGTTGACCCCATAATCTCAACTAGTCAGAGAAATCATTTAAAGAGGAAGCAATTTGGAAACTAAAAATTAGTTCACTCTCTATTCCAAAATTAATATCCCATGCTAATGTGAAAAATTGAACTATGGAGTCCATTTTACTAAGAATACTGCATAC
The DNA here is from genome assembly GCF_000001405.40 of Homo sapiens. Taxonomy (NCBI): domain Eukaryota; kingdom Metazoa; phylum Chordata; class Mammalia; order Primates; family Hominidae; genus Homo; species Homo sapiens. The sequence continues at coordinate 532,407 of NT_187556.1, read as the reverse complement.
ATGTTTTCTAATAAAATTACACTTTTCTACATATACATACATTTATAATGTACATATAAATTTTAACAATTTTGACAATTTGGTATTCCAGTGATTTCCCTCTTGACTTCCTGTGCCCAAACTACTTTCTTTTAAATATCTCACCTGCTTTATTTTTTTATTTTCGTCAAAATAGGTCTTTAAAAAATTAGCATTACCACACAGTGTATTGTTAATATAATGTAATTTTTGTTTAACTTAGGAATTATTTGAAATTGGTTCCAGATGTGAAAGCCATGGAGATTGCATGTAAATAATATTGTGTTTTGAAGCCAGTTATACTGTGTTAAGTGGATAAAAACATGTTACTGAATATTGATTTATCCCCATACTTATGTTCTGAGTGGACTTTGGACTGTTTAAGTAAAAATATTACTATAAAGTGCTTTGAAGTGTTTTATTCTGAGAATAGCCCTATCTATGTGAGAGGGAATGAGGATAGTTAACTTACACTCATAGCTGCTTTTTTGTCTTGCTCTATTGTCCAGGCTAGAGTGCAGTGGCGTGATCTTGGCTCACTGCAACCTCTGCCTCCTGCGTTCAAGCAATTCTCCTGTCTCAACTTCCCGAGTAGCTGGGATTACAGGCATGCGCTACCATGCCCAGCTAATTTTTGTATTTTTGTAGAGATGGGTTTCACCATGTTGCCCAGGCTGGTCTTGAACTCCTGACCTCAAGTGATCTGCCCGCCTCGGCCTACCAAAGTGCTTGAATTACAGCTGTGAGCTACCGTGCCTGGCCCATAGCTGCTTTCTAACTTATAAATGTCTTGATATTTTGGAATTATACTGTCTTTTTATCTGATTCTTTTTTCTGAGAAACATTTAATTTGTGTATTCTTTGTGGCATAAAATGCTTTCAGGCTCAATCACTTGTAGTTTTACTCCCAACAGTATTAAGTTTATTTGTTTTTAAAACTATCTTTCACATGTAGTGAATTTTTATCACATGTTTATTATAGCTAATTAATGTCCTCATAAGGTATGTCTGCAAGATTTTTGGGGAGGGAAGTACTTATAGACTAGATTTTCAGGTAGACTGCAAATTTGAGAGAAACCATGGTTACTATTTCATCAGGAATGTCTACTAATCTTGCTCTGTTATTAGAAAATAAAGAGAAGCTTATGGAAGTATATATTGTATTAATTTTTAAACAGTCTATAAAAAGAAATGGAACATAATTGATATATAGTATAATTAAATACAGAGTGTTAGTTAGGATTATGATGTATGTTCATCCACTTCCCTTCTTTAAGATCCATTTACCTTTCCCCAAATTTCAGGTCCCCCAGACTTGAAATTACCAATACCACTACTGGCCTCAGCCCAGAAGTTCATATCAACAAAATAGAACACAGTTTATGTTAACTATGATATTAACTGAATTTTAGTACAGATTGCAAAAACTTATAAATGCTTCATAATCTTGGGAAATACCTTTGAGACTCCAAAAATAACCTTTGGAGGAAGTTACCATCTAATTTTGTTAAATTCTGCATGCCTAAATACTGGTTCTATAAGAGGAACTGAATACTAGATTTATAAACCATTCTTTTTTAATTAGGACTGGGACTATTCCATGTTACAGTTGTAGAATTTGCCATTAATATAATCTGATTGAATAAATGTTGATAATTTTAAAGTAGCTATTTTAATAGTCCCTGCATGTTAGACTATGTGGCTGTAAAAATAAGTACCAATCAAAAAGTAAATTACTTACAATTTACTGTTTTTAAAATTCCATTTTAAGGTATTTGAGGCATTGACCTTTTATTTCTGATAATAGTAAATGTTTATTTGATGGAAATCTGTCAATAAATAATTTTCCAGCAAGTCAATACAAAGGTTTTCCTTATTTATAATAAAAAATAAATTTTACATTTTCAAATGTAAATGTAGGTTTTTTTGTGGCCAAGTATGGATTAATGCTAGTGTAGAATCAACATATGAAGTGAATGTATCATGATATTTTATTTTCACACCAATCCTGTGAAATATATTATTTTCTCACTTTTTAGTTGGTAAATTTAAGACTCAGGAAACAAAAACAAAACAGTAACTTGTCCAATATCAGACAGATGGGCCTCAACTCCTTTTCTCAGACTTTTAACGGCCTTAATACTTATTCCTCTTATTCCTATCATAGGTGATTTTTCTCCCTCTTATAATAGTATAGCATGAGTAAATAAAAGCACAACAAGTAAAGTCTGGAAGAGATGTACATTTTAAAAAATAGAGTCTGCATGGCTAACTTATTCTCTGAGAAAATATAGGTTAATATTTGCAACTTCACATTTATTGAAAGCCCAATTGATTAGTGCTTAACTCTCCAATATATGCTGTGTTTTAAATACTTTAAACAGTTAAAGTGTAAAAGTACTTTATCCTTTTCTGAAAATATCCTGTCTGGTTGCCAAAGCTTTTTGTTTGTTTGTTTTCCTTCCAAAGTGCATTATAATCATTTGGTAACTGCAATTAGTTGCTTCAGGGTCTCTGACTTAGGAGAGGTGGTAATTACAGCCTCCAGTGGCTGAAGCCACTGAAGCCTACCTCATGCTTCTCTAGGAACCTGAGGGGTATGATTATTTCGCTGTTACTTTATACTCTGACCCATGCTATTGTTCACATAATGTTTCTTCAGGCACTTCATAAATTTTTAATTTGTCTTAAAAGGGAAGTAATTCAGAAACTCCAGTGAACAATCAGAGAAAGTATGCTTGCTTTTTTTTTTTCTGTGTGTCTATTTCCTCTGGGTATACCATCTGGTATAGAAGCTAGGCAAATACAGTTTCTCTTTCTCTTATTAAATGGAAATAAAATATGCCATCATCAGAAATTGTCTGTGTTGCATGCTTTGGCAATTGCATGTTAAAATTGCTCTTTTAAATTGCCTTCTGCTTCTGGGTAACCCATTGTGGAACTGCTTTATGATTAACTGACATTTTAGCAGCATCTCTCTCATAGGGAAGGTCAATAGTTCAGAGTGTCCAGAACATAATACATTTATGCAGTTGGGAAAACTACTCTCTACTCTTATATTGAAGTTCAATGCTCTTGGCAATTTTCAGTGAAACAGTTAGATCTATGAAGCAGTGAAAAGGAGAGTGTCTTATTTTAAAAGTAAGCATTTACTAAAAATGCATTTTTTTTCTTGTCCCAAATCCAAAATGGAAGGAAAAACAAAACAAAATAATACTCAGGCATATACCAGAAACCACAAAGTGAGAAGTTAAATTTTAGCCTTTAGTCTATAGCATCATCAGCAAAATGGTACCATATATTGATTTTTGCTATGGTTTAAGATAGTTATCAATCACAAAGACTAGTAACCGCTAACACTCAGCCTAGAGGTTGAAACAAAATAAACAACTCTTCTAAGAGTTGGTTCGGTTTCACAATGTAAGGATGACTTACTATTTGATTTAAATTGTTGGCTTATATCAATGCTTGCTTTAAATTTTTTTGAAATGTATGAGCTTCTTATATATGATCTTTATATGGCTTTGTATTGTTTTTGAGCAAGAAATTTAAAAGGCAATGCTATTATTATTATTGAAATAAAAAACAAACTAAAGGTAAAAAGCCACAGGAAAAGTAATGGAAGCAGTTCTTCAATTTTCTTGGGAATGTAAGAATAAAATTTCATTTTAGATTTCCTTTTTGTGAGTAATAACCTAATTTTTGGTTTTTAGATTCTGTAGAGAATACTTCTGTTTGAAAAATATTTATTCAGAAAAAAACTTCTGTTGGCTTCTTTCTTTGTTAACAGTACCGTGTTAATTAATAGGTCTTCAAAGTTATACAACCAATGCCTCACACTTAAGCTCCTAGAAGTCACTAGGGACCAGACCTATAAACAGAATAAATGCAAAGTGAAATGAATAAAATGAGAGCAAACTGCATGTTTTTACCTCCTCGTAAACATTAATGATATTTTTGGGTTTCTGAAAATAGATGGGTTCAGGTGGATCACTGGCTAACTCTAGGCTTGTGGTAGAACTGAGGCTGGCAGGTGAGCTGCAGCTAAGTCTAACATGATCTACCTCTAATGGATAATGTATAGGTAGTCAACACCTATACATTCTGCTAATTTTCAGGTAGACTGCAAATTTGAGAGAAACCATGGTTACTATTTCATCAGGAATGTCTACTAATCTTGCTCTGTTATTAGAAAAGAAAGAGAATATATTATGGATAATAACATAATCTAACATGATTACCTAGTTGTTTGTATGATACAGACTGACATTACTAGATTTGTTTGTAAAAGGATCATCCCATCTCTGGAAGCTAAGGAAGGACTAGAAGCAGAGAGATCATGAAAACATGCATATAGATAGATAGATAGATAGATAGATAGATAGATAGATAGATAGATGTCTTCTCTACAGCATCTTTCTCATTTCAAATCAGAAACAGGAAATCCATAAATTCCTGGAAAATATTATCATTCATAATAATCAGGAAGGTTACTTTTATAAGGGGATTTTAAAGATATGTTATAAGTGAATAACTTTATTGTTTGAATTACTTTTCTTATTCAAATATGTGAATTGTCCAATATTAATACACATGAAAAAAATGGTATAATACATTATATTAGAGGGGAAAATCATGAGAGATTGGAGATAAATTCAAGAGCTACTGTGTATTTGATGAGATGTTTAATTATTTCACAAATTTTAGTGAGGGCCCAAGTTGTACACATCGCCACACGCAGGACTGCAGAAGATAAAACATTGAGAAGACAACATTCCTGCTCTTAAGGAATTGACAGGCTAGTGTTATAACCATAATAAAAATATAATAAATGATACAATAAAAATATAACATACTTCAGTAATCCAAAGAAGAGAGGGATAATATCTGACCAAAAATAATTTTTCCCAAACACTATTAATTTTTCTAAACAGAGTTGGTTTAATGCTTCCGTTGAACAAAGCCATGGCCTTATCCATAATTCCTTACTTGTGAAATAATGCATAAAACAATGTCTAGCCAGTAGTCACCATAAGGATGGTTTGCCTTCCCTCTTTCCTTTCTACTCAGATATAGGAAATCTATATGGACAGATGGAGGTATTAAAATGAAAGATATAGTTCATATTCTAATATATATCATCAAAGTTGTTTGTGTTTTTTTAAACCTCTGGGGTTCATGGGAATATAGAAATGTTATTCTAAATTTCTATGGAAATGGAGAGACAGAGACAGACTGACTTATAAGGTAATCAACACCTATACATTCTGCTAATGGTCTATTATGCTAGGAGTTCCCAGCATAAGAGTCATGAAAGTTGAACAAATATGAAATAGCCTTGCCCAGTACCTTTTGGGTTTCACCTCAGGAGCAGGTTGTACAGTTAGTCATACATCCCAATTCAAGGCACATTTCCTTATAGGTGGTATCATCAGTAGCAGTGTAATTAACTTTACTAATAGAGTTGGGTTGTTTTCACCTTAAAATTGTGTCATCTGACTGACTAGTTGGTGAAAGACATTTGGTAACCAGTGTTAATGACACTGTATTTATTTATTCATAGTACTTTACCACATGCTGAGTCTGTTAACTGTATCATTAAGTACTCTTTTTATTGGCTTTGTTTGTTTTTATTGAATTTTGCATAACTACAATAAATCTTCAGGTAGAAATGATTTGAATAACAGCATCAGTCTCATGAAATGTTCTTTCCCCTCAAGTCCTAGGTTTTTTATTTGATATCAGGAAGTAGAAATGGCTTTAAAAGTAAAATGGTATATTTATAATGTCTTAAATGATGATAACACCAGGAGTATATGATGAAGAAAATGACCTAGATAGAATTTTAAAGATATAGATCTAGGCATCAAACTCTAAGGGATGTGTTAGTCACAAAGACAGGTTCAAGAGATCTAGCCTGTGAGTTTGAGACTTTTCTTTGATGGTGCTATTGGGGTCACTATGAGGTATAGACTTGCTCTTGATTTTCTTTCTCTTTACCTAGAGAATTTACTTCTGTCTTCAATTCTCACACCCTATTCATATCTTTTGTTGAATTGTGATTTCCTTTCTTTGTTTTGAAATATGAAAGAAATCTCTAAATCAGGTTCTGACAGATGGGTATGGATAACCATACCCATCCTAGGTATTATTAGCATTTTGGGGGAGTGTTGGTCATTCTGTGCAATTTCTTGATTGAAAAAAATGATATATGGATGAATCTCATTATTTTCATCATTTAATTTGACTCATTACTACATGGAATCATCAGCTTAGGATCTCACTTTCTGGTCTTCATTGTCTTCCTGCAAGATATGGCCTTATCATGGCTAATAATTGCTGGAGGATAACTCTTCAATCTTCTTTCCTCTCCACCAACCTGAATGTAAACTGCAGAGGGGAAAAAAAGCATGTTCAAAGGAAAAAGCAAATGAGTGAATTCTAATCCCAAGTCTTCTTATTTATAGTAAACTTTGTGAACTCAGTAAAAAATGAACTTCAAAGGGCAGAAATTCATGCCTTTTATGTCACCCTAAGCAAGATCTGTGCAAATTCAGCTGTCACTACATATGATATGGCCTAGAAATCATTGAGTGATGTTCATTTTAATTGTCTCAGCCAAATCATCTCAGTGAAGTTGAGTTTAAAGAACTCATCTTTCATTCTTTGGCTATGTTATTATTTCCCACTTCTACATAGTCCCTCACCACAACAAAATAATAATAAGCAATCATAAAACAGTTTATTATTACCTGTTAATTAAATTATTTTAAGCAGTTGCTATATTCTGTCCTGTTATTCAACCTACCCAAAATTTACTAAAAACCATATTTTTGTTACATATGAACCTATAATACCTTTTGCTAATACAAGGAATATACACACACATATGCATATATATATGTACACACTCTCCTTTTAAGAGGAATTAATTTTAAAAATTTAGATACCACCTTAAAAATTATATTAGTGAAGAATATTAAAGCAGAGTCATTGTTCCAGAGTCCTCTTTCCTGCTTCTCCATCTCTCTCCTCCAGCTAATTTTGCATTTCATGCATGTGTGTGCATTGTGCATGTTTGGATGTTGTGCTTTTATTTGGGGTGGGGGGCAGATACTGATTTAGAGTTTTCTTTCTACAACAGCCAAATCCTTTCTGTTTAGGTGGATAAAATGTGACATGGGTGAACTAGCTATCCTTAAGCTTGATTTCTTTGGAGGGCCCTTGCTGGAAGTCCCATATTCTGTAAAGACTGCATAGAGCTTACGTACCCAAATTATTTTTTTAAATTATGTATATATTAAAATAATACATCAAATGTTGCAACTAGAATTTAGAAAAAAACTCATTATTTTAGAATGTTTACAAAACTATTGTCATTTTTGTCAATGCACTATTATTTTTCTCTGTTCCTGGGAGTATTTTAGTTGTAAAGTACAAAGTATATACAGTTCTATATTCCGCTTATTGTAATTGCCATCATGCCAACCCATTTCCTTTGTTTCTACAGAACATTATCACCATCACTTTAAATGACTGCTTAATATTCTGTTGGATATATATATATATCTGAATGTATGTAACCATTCTTATGTTACTGAAAGTTTGGACTAACTCCCGCTATTGGCCATTGTAAAAGCCGCGGTGAAGATCATGAATGTACCTTTTTTCCACATAACTGAAAAGTTCTTGACAAATACTATTCAACTACTTTTTGAAAGTATTATATCAATGCGCTTTACTGACACCATCAAGGCCAATCATATGGTTTTAGTGCAAGTAAGTGCTTTATAATTAATCAAGTCCAACTCCTTTATTAATCATCATTCTGGGCATTTAGTCTCAATAGGGAAGTGATTTGATCAATATCAAACAGCTATTGTAGGAGAAAAACCAAGACTATCATTTGTATTGCATTTTTAAGCTTTTCTTTTACATGAGTATCTCCTGTATTCTAGACTCTGTCTAAATTACTGGATATTCTAAGATAAAAACTCTGTTCTCTAGCTACTCAAAGTCTAGAGAATTATGATTACAGTAGCTCACAAGTACTGAGTAATTGCTGTGTGTCAGGCACTAGTGTAAACTCATAAATGCAAACTGAGGCTGCCTGAATGCATTTCTGTGTTGAGCTGCCCAGAATGGTTAGAAGGTAGACATGCAGGTTAATAATTAAACCAATAAGCTGTATAATAGATGTGCACAAAACATCTCTAAAATATGAGTATAATTTCATCAAGCAGTCAATCAGTAAAATAGGTGGTTATCTTAAGGTTTGAGAGCCAGTAAAGTCTAGGTTCAAATCTTGCTGTAATCCTTACTGATGTGCAAGTAATTTAATGTAATGTTTCACTTCTTCATCTATAAAATAAAAATCAATAACTGAACCTGCCCAATTTGATACTTTTGAGCTATTTGGGCATGTACTAAAGCTAACAATCAATTTATTAAATTTGCAGGAATTTTGCCAGCTGGTTGTGAAATGATTATTTTGAAATAAATTTATATATATTTACAAGTATATTTTAAACAAAGGAACATGCACTTAAACCTCCTAGTTATTTTAATATATTATACCATTATTTCTATTCTTGAGGTTATTTATGTTTATTTTATCTGTATGTTGGAAACACTATATAATGATCCTCTGATGCTCACTTATTCCTAATTTTTACGCTAGTGGCAACGTTAGAGCACTGAAATTTTAAGTGCTACAAATGAGGGTTTCTTTTCCCTCCCCACTCCTTCTTCTTTCTGGATAGCCACAAACATGTTTACAATATTAAACATTTTTCCTTCACATCAATGGAGATGACTCCTGCAGAGTGCTTACTTAGCACAATGTATGAGACATAAGAAGACCATAGTAAATATTAGCCATTGCTACATTAAAAGTCATTTCATTAAAGATATTTTTCCTCTAATATTTTAAAAACTACAAACATGCAGAAATCTGAAGGAATTATACAGTGAACACTCATATGTCCACCACTATAATTTACCTTTGCTGTATTTGCTATACTAAATGTTGATCTACCTTTACATCTTTTTATTCATCCATCAGTTCATCTTAATTCTTAATTAATACATTAAAATATTTTATGTAAGGGAATACATTTTTTAAAGAATGAATTATTTGAATTTTTATTAGAATGCTTAGAATAATTTGTGTTTTCTAAAGATTTCTCTAATGATAGTTTAAGAAAAGGACTGAAAGGAGATTTCAGAAAGATTAGAAGGCTGCTACTTCAGTCTAAGCAAAAATTGATCAGTACTTGAACCGAAGCAGAGGAGATAAGAATTCCAATGAGGAGACAGGTGTTGAAAGAGATTTGATAGGTAGAATCAGTAGAACTTGGTGACACATTGGAAGTGAATTCTGGCTTGGAACATTAAGGTATAGGGACAGGTTTTAACTTGAAGGGCTCAAACATTGGGGAAAGTTTTAGAAGGCAAATCTCTGTGCTTATTTTTAGAAATGAGGCATTGGGTCAGGCAGTTATTTTCCTGGGTTTATGGTTCATAGAGAGGGCAGACAGCAGGATATACAGATTTAAGTGTCATCACCATTTAATTCCTCTTGCGAGATTCATGAGTATACTATAATTTCCTTGAATTGGAAATTGAAGTAAGTTTCTTTCAACCACATTTTTAGAAATTATGCTCTTGTAGGAAAAATTTCACTGTATATGTTAGTATCTTATTGCATGAACTATTCTGATTACTCAAGCCTCCCTGCTCAAGGGCAGAAACTGGTAATTATTTTACATAGAGATAACTTAAAAATATGTAGCAGATTGTTTTGTGTTCACAAGTATTTAAATTTGTTCAATATGTGATTTATGAACTGTGATCAGTTTGTTGAATTGTGATTTCTGTAGCTGCATTTTAATTGTTCCCCAGAATGGGTAGCTCAGAGCATTATGCTAAGGGCAGAATCAAATGTAGTTTACTGTTGGTTTTTATCATCCAATCCCAGGCATACTTGCAAGTAAGCTAATGTGTGTTGAGCATATTTCTATATTCGTCCCTTTATTGCTCTCTTACTTCTCATTGTCCCTCACCCTAGTGGTTCCTGGTGCTCATATGCTGTATATGCACCCTTCAGATGCCTCCACAGGATGACAGGAGAAGGACCTGAGCATATGGCCCCATGATTAGCAGTGCTGGTGTGCCCATTCTTTGGAATATATTGATATACCTATAGTTCGTGTGTGTGAGAGAATATATATGTATATATGCTAGATATAGAATATATGTCATATACACACGTATGTACACACATATGTACATGTTACACACTTATATGTACGTGTGTATATGTATGTGCATATCATATACATACATATATATCTAGTATATATACATTGATATGCATATATCTATAGTGGGTGTGTATATATATACACATTATATATATACACACACACTATATATATATATCTACATATCAGTATTACTTTGATATCTTACTACAACATCCAATTAGAACAACTTATTTTTAAAATTTTTTATCAAGTTCTACACTTGAGTGCTTTGGTAATGAGCGAAAATAATTACCCTGATTTTTTAAACCCTTGAGTCAGAAGCCTCTGTAGGACAAACTTAAATATTTAGACTTTCCAAGGATTTTCAGTAGCACAGGGGAGATAAAGCACCTATCTCTCTTTCAGTGAAGAGAAGAAAATAAATGTTTCTACCCTTTCAGATTTTACTGGAATGTTATTATAAACTAAAAAGTAGGTCAGCAAGACTGAGTTGTTTTATTAAGAACAGCAGTACAAATATCATCTGAAGAAGATGACTGTACAATTGCCTATTATTAAAACAAAGGTAGGGAAAATTGTTAGTGATTCATTCCCTAAGCTGTTCCAGTCCTTAAGTATGATGCTAATTATCCTGGGTATTAATTTGATTTCTACTTTTTTAGCTGATCTCCTTTATCTCAGTGATAACATTTTTATAATTATAATTTTGTAAATAACCAGTAAGCCCATTTTTAAAGCTCTGCTTAGTCAAATCAGTTATTAGTTGTGTAGTGAAAAGATTTTCAAAACATTCTCCAGAGTTGGTTGATCAATCCCTTATTTTTTAAGAAGACGAGTTAGAAGTGCCTCAATTATGAAATTGGCTCTAAGAGAGTCAAATTTGGAAATCTAAGCTTTTAGAAACATATTTTTGACTGAAACATGTATACATATACTTGTAATAATAAAGTTAAAATGGGGTAAATGTTACCTTTATCTTAAATTTAACATCAAGAATTGATCTAATGAAGAAATTCATCCAGAATTTAAAATATTCTTCTATAAAACAATAGGGCATACTTACAGCCCTTTAATATACAAATCATCAGAAGTCTCTAAATAATAGAGAAATCAATGTCTACTTCATGCAGCACAACAGCAAAACAGAGCTGCTCCCTTATTACAAACAGTACATAATAGTTTAATTTTCATGGGACTAGTAACGCATTTGTTATATCGTGGTTTTTAGTGAGGAATATTGTATATGTCTTCAGTTAAAAATATATTCTCAGCTTGGACAGGTGGTACTTAAAGAGTCTGGAGTGAGAAATGGTTTGGCAGGATAACAAGGCATATTACAAGTGCCTGCCTTGAAAGGTAAGAAAGAGAGTTAGACATTTTCCATTACTACCTACTGTTAAGGTGCTCGCATTATCCCCTAAACAACCTCATGCTTGTGGCAATAATCATGCACTGTCGGTTTTTTGTACTAATATGAAAGTGCGGTTCAATCTTTTTGACAAATACTGCATCATTTCTGGCTTGGTGAATTTTTGTCACTCAAACCTAGTTGATGTGTAAGTAGGTTGTGACATGCTGGCTGAAATGACTTTGGATCCACTGTATTGAAGAAAGTAAAATTTTACTTGAAGTGTTTCTTCTTTCCATTTCTCACTCTTCTCTCTACTCCACCTAGACCTCACTCCTTCCCTGAGTTTAGATTCATCCTACTTCCTTTGTAAGGTACATCATTATACATTATATGGGAGAATTATCTTATAGTGAAACTGAAGGAAGCTTTTCATGGAAATGTGTAATTCGTTTATTATTTTCTAAACTGTGTATTTGCACGTGTATCCATATGCATCACTGCACAATCTAAGTGTTAACAGTTTTTTTTTTTTTGCTTTCTTACTAGGGCTTATGTCTAAAAATGCTAGTTTGCAATATCTATAACACTAGCATTTTAAAGTCATTCATAATCTGTCAATTGATATGAAATATAAACATTCTGCCTTTTTACTTTCATTATTTTAGTGATAAATTTTGTACTGCTTAAATGTTCTCTGCAAGTCTGTGTGGTTTGGAAGGAATTGTCGTTTTAATTTCTTCTTCTTTAGTGACAACATGTGCATCTATTATGGAAAAAAATGAAAGGTAACAACAGTTGTTAATTTAAGAGATGACCATGAATTCTCAGTGCTAGCTCCCAAGGTGGCACTCCTAAGAAAGAGGTCATTTCTCAAGTAAATAATATGCCAGGTAAGATCTGTTTGCATTTTAAATAAAGTGATTGATTTAGGAAATATTACCTTTAGAAAGTGCAAGTTCAAATGAATAGTTTTCTTTAACCCCCCAAATAAGATTATAAAGGAATTACCCATGTCATGAGTTTTTTGTTGTTCTTGTTGTTTTAATCATTGTCTCCTAGTAAAGTAGGCTTTGCTGAGTAAAAACATAGAAATAGACTTATCTATTGATGGATAAGTATAATGGATAGGTATAAATTAAGCGTAGATGTAGAGACAAAGATGTAGCTATCTTCCCTGTCACTTATTTGTGGCCTGCAGGGGAGTTTTAACTCATCCCCAACACTCGGGCTCCCACAGGCAGTATTCAGGATCTGCCTTGGTCTGTTTTGTGGTGTTTGTTTCATGAAGTTTCTTATTAGGCTTTGTGTTATTCAAAATTAAAATTTTACATACGATAGTCCAACTAATAATTTAGGAAATCATATTGCCATTATTAAAACTTGCTCACAGTCTAATTTAAATAAAATCTGAGTAAAAACAAAAGGAAGATGCCTACTATAATTTGAAGATATTCATTCACTAACGTTTCAACATTTATTTTGTCACCATTAATTTATTTTGTTTTTCAAATAAAAAGTAAACTGTATTATCCCATATAGTTCTGGAAAGTGCCTGGTGTTTATCATAAAATTATATATATTATTTGTCTCCATTGTAATAGTGGCCTTAAAATAATACACACACACACACACACACACACACACACACACACATTAAAAAAATAACATATTTAAGTGGGAATTGGAAAGAAATGCTTAACAATAACAAGATGGTTTTATAAATTATGTTATGTCTATGTATTAAGCATTTTTTAGCCATTAAAGTTATTTGTGTAACGTCTTAATCCAATAATGAACATAATACAATGTTAAATGAGAGAATCAAGGTATGATGAAATAACAATAAAAAATACCCTATGTGATACTTGTGGAGATCAGGAAATAATTGTATGGGTAATTTTCTCATCTATTAACTTTATTTCAAGTCATTTCATTGGTAAAAATAAATACTTTTAAAAGAGAAAATTTACCAGAAAGAAAATAAAGAGATTGATCTATAGCAATAAGCATGAATTTAACTAACACATGGCTTACTTAAGCTTCTTTGTTTTTTTTCTTTTAAAAATAGGTTTTTCTAACTTAGGCTTGGGTCTGTTTATTTTTTATTGTATATGTTAAAATATACAATGTGTTTTGACATACATGTAGATGCTGAAATAATTACTATAGTTAAACAAATTTACATATAGCTCACCTTCCATAGTTATCCTTTTGTAGGGTGTCAGAGCACCTGAAATCTACTCTTTTTGCAGTGCTTTCAGTTTACAATAGGATATTATTAACTATAGTCTTCATGCTGTACATTTTTGTCTGTCTACTTAATGTTCCTAACCTGACTGCAAATGTATAGCCTGTAACCGATTCTCCAGATATTCTCCCCCTCCCTGCTCTCTGTTTCTCATTTGACTTCAAGAAAAAAAGATTCCACATTTAAGTGAGGTCACAGTATTTTCTGCCTGTGTCTGGCTTATTTCACTTAGCATAGTGTCCTCCAGGTTTACCCACGATGTCACAAATGTCAGGATTGCCTTTTTTAGGGAAGAATTATGTAGATATATGTCACAATTTCTTTATCCATTTATCCACTGATGGGCATTTAGCTTGTTTTCATATCTTGGCTATTGTGAATAATGCTGTAGTGCAGCGGTCCCCAACCTTATTGGCACCAGGGACCAGTTTCATGGAAGACAGTATTTCCATGGACTGAGGAGGTGGCAGGGGATGGTTTCAGGGTGCAACGCTGCTACCTCAGATCATCAGGCATTAGTTAGATTCTCATAAGGAGCACACAACCTATTTAAAACATTATGCACAGTTCACAATAGGGTTTACGCTCCCATGAGAATCTAATGCCGCCACTTATATGGCAGGAGGTGGTGCTCGGGTGGTGATTCTCCCTTGCCTTCCGCTCACCTCCTGCTGTGCAACCCAGTTTCTAACAGGCTGTGGACCAGTACCAGTGTGTCACTAGGGGTTTGGGGACCTCTGCTGTAGTGAACATGGGAGTACAGATATCTCCACAAGGTGCCAATTGCTGAGTCATATGATAGTTATCCTTTTCATTTTTTGTAGCACCTCAATGCTGTTTTTATAATGGTTGTTCAACTTTCATTTCCACCTGCAAAAGAGAACAAGGGTTCCTTTTCTCTACCACCTCACCAACACTTAGGGCTGTTTATATTTTGAGCAAAGTCCTTTTTCACTTTCATTTCAATCAAAATGCAAGAAAGAATTAAATTGAGCTGCCGCTTATTTGGGAGATGTCACAAGATTTACTTCCTAAGAGTTTGTGAGAAGAACACATTTTCTGGCATTTGCTGTTGATCCAGAAGCATTTTCATTGCAGTGACTTTGTTTGGAGATTTTAACTTCTAAGTACTACTCTTATTTTGCTCTGCTTTTAGGATAATGTTTTAAATAAGATTTTTAAAGTTTCTCAAAACTGAAAACATTTTACCTCAGAGTAGAACTCAGTTAAATTTTTATTTAAAAGTAGGTTTTTGGTAACAGTAAATGTTTTGACAAGTTTTTACTTAATGGTTAATAAAATGCTACTAGGTCAGGTGCAGGAAGTAAAATTAGTCCTAAATTGAATTTGAGGAAGGCATGTAAGTAGAAGTAATATTAAGAAGGTGAATCATCAGTTGTATGATAGAACTGTTACTAATAAATACAACATGTGGTAATTGCAAGAATTAAGTTCATGAAATGTCTATTCAACTTTACAATCTTGCCCTACTAGAGTATTTAGTCATAGGGAACCTTACTGTGGTTGGACTCTGCCTGGCAATGCAGTTTAACTTAAAATTATCTAGGAATTATTTTTATAGGAAATTTTGCTAAAATCCACCTAGTTATATGAAGTATATTACTCTTGAGTAGCAACCAAGTAACTCAAACTGTAATTTAACCCTGTTAATGGAGGGAAGTAATATGGAAATACTAAAATTGACATTTTACAAAGTTGATCCCAGTATATCTCAGATGAAAAAAACTAGAATAATATATAAGAAAACAATTTTATACATTCCTTTTGTTCAATTTAGAAATAAGTCATTACAGATATCTTGCATGGCAAATATTAATGCAATTAACTTTTTTAACTTCTGAGATTATTTTTAATTTAAACTTGTATGTTTAAGATTTATTTTGTTTGTTTAGAGTGCTTGCCAGCAAACGCTGTGTTAATGTAATCTTAACTATTAAAATTGGATTTTTTTTCTGGCTGTGTACATATTTCTGTCATTTTGCTTTCTCATCAACCAGTTAAAATATTTTTTTTTCTGTTCATGTGAGTTTTTCATTTATATTTATGTATAAGGCACAGCACAGGCTGTGTTTCAAGTAAAATATTGGACTGATTTTGAGGGAGTTTTTTTTGTTTCTATCATTTTTAGTCTTTTTGAGGAAGTTGAATATTTTTCCAGAAGTGCTATACTTTATTCCTAGTACTTTCCAGATGATATTGATAACTCCAGGAACACTAGGAAACAGAAAACGTAATATCAATGTTAATTTTATAGAATATAAAATGTTATTCAACTGGCCTTTATTTTATTTACATATTTACATAGGGATATATGTGTAATTTACATCATTCCTAATTTCAAGAATAATTCTAAGTTATTTACTAAAGCACAAAAAGATTTAACAGAAGAATACTAAGTTGATAAGTAATTTTGGGAAAAATAGTGATACTAAAGGTAAAATAAATGAACTTGGGGGATAATGAGAGTAAACAAAAATTTATGTTTATAGAGTTTTGTTACTAGAGGAGAGTCTTATGTTATTAGAAGACACCATAGATTTGATGCTAAATGTACTAGTAATAAAAGCAAAATCTGTATCAATTACTACAGTATTTATTATTTATAATATAGCAGCTAATGCTTACCAGCCACTCATAACATTCTAAAAACTTTGTCCAGCATTTGATACGATTATCTTATTTAATTATTGCAATGACCCTGAGGAGTCCTGATGTTGTTATATTTTACATTTGCAGAAACAGAATCTCAAAGAAGTTAAGTGCCTTTCCTGAGATCACACAGCTATTAGCTGGTTGAGCTGGGAAGTCTGAGTCCAAAATCTATGCTCTTATTCACAGAATAAACATTTTTAAGGGGATAAAATATTAATAAATCAGAAAAGCATACCTTGTCTTAATTCTAAAGATAAGAAAAAAAAATTTTCTGTTGGGATTATGCTTGGTTCAAGGATAAAGTGGAGCCTATCTAGGGGAATGTCCGTAATGCATAACCTTCAGGCAATCCTTGTGAATATCTCTTTGCTCTTTGTTGTTACCAAATTATTTTGTCTTAAGGCTATGAGAAAATTGACTTTCTAAAAGCTGTGTCTCCGATGAACAGTTAATACTAAAGCCAAGGGGAAGACGTACTGGTCAGAATTATAGTAACTTTATCCTTACATATATCTAGAAGAAATACTCTTGTAACTGAGAGCTAAATCTAGAAATTCTTCTGTCATGCAGAATTTTGATAAATGTCCAATGCTATTTTTAGTTTTAAATGTTTTTTACGTATATGTTTTATTTTTGTATCATCTTTCACTTAACTATTGAACTACAGTTGTTCTGTGATATAAACTCTTACAAACAATATAGATTTGGCTTTAGTTTCATTAATTTTTCATAAATGCTTGAGTATTCATAGTACCTTATGAATTTATGATAAATTTATTACAGATTTATTCAGGCAGAGACATATTTGAAAATTTGTAATGAGGAAAAAAAATCATCTTATGAACAGCTCCATAATTTTACTTTCCTAATTGTGTGTACCTTTTGGGTCTATTTTATATTTATTTAAGTTTATATTGGTATTTATATATTCATATAAATACTTATTACATATTTATATAGGAATAATGCGAAGCCATGGTTAACTTCATAATCCAGGGATGCAGGCTTACCAAAAGACTGAGACCTCATCATAGGATAGAATGATTTTCCTTCTCACAATATAAAAAGTAAAGAAAAATAAATTAACCAAAACCTCTCTCATGCAAAAAGAAAACATTATTAACTTTTGGTGAAATTCAGACATCTCTTCCTGTGTGCATACTGTATGTAAAGAGGAAAAAGGGGAAGAATTAATGGTTGGATAAAATAAATGTACACAATATACTTTATATGTATTACTTCCTAATAAAAATTATTTCTTTTTTATATAACAAAATTGGAAACTAAGGTAAAACTGAAATAATTACTGTTGATTAGGGAAAACTTTCCCATCACATGTGTTTCTGTCATTTCTTTTGTTTCTCCCTTGATTTAGGTTTTTTTTAATGCGGTAGGCCAAAGTCTTAGGTGATTTGATATTAGTTTTAGCATAATTTGCACACATAGAATTCACAGAAGATATAATTTCATGCAAACATGTAAACTTTCAACTGTAAAATTTGTATGAAGGACTGTTATGTTTGCTATGATATGGGGAGACCATTTAGTCAATGAGGTCTTTGTACTTCCATTGTGATAATTTAGATAGCTTTTATTTTCTGAAATGTGTTTGAAAATGTGGAAAATATTTTAATATTTCCCTGGTTTTTTTGGCTTTCATGCTAATATATACATACATTCTAATGTATATTATATTCCATATAATGTATATTTTCTGCCATTTTTCAAGTGTTCTTTTCCCCTGGCCTTTCTTCTACCCTCCAATAATTTATTAAATGTTTTTAATCTCCCCCCCCAGCCTGTAATTTAGTTTTGTGCATTTTAAAGCAGTATTGGTTATATGCACTTCAGCAAACCAGTTTATGCCAGCTAAAGATTGAAAAGGAGAAATTAATTTAAGATTTAGTTCTGTGTTTTTTAAAACCTTTTTAAAGATGAAGATATTGATCTTGTATTACTAGTATTGAAGCAAACTCATATTGTTTAGTTCCTTATCATAAGTTAGAGGCGTTGGAGGGTTAAAGTTTTACCAAAGTAAATCATAATAGAACTGGACAATTTAATAGTGATGTCATATACAAAAGCTCAATTAATAATCCTATACAACCAGTAGGTGAAGATTTTATTTTATTAATAAAGCATCTGAAAATGAGCCTAGGGTCATAACTTTTAAGAACTAGGATTATAGGGTCATGCTTTATTCATGAATAGTAGACATGCTTTCTCTATAGTGAGCTAAGCTATACTTCTGAACTTGAATGATTGTCTCAGTGTTACCTTTATCTCAGATTCATCATTCATATTCCTTTTGAAATATCTTTATCTTGGTATAGATATTTATGTGTAAACACAATAGTTGCTATGTAATAGTTTCTGTTTAGCCATTAATTGGAGATACGTAATTAGAGTTGGTGCTGGGGTATCTTCTAGAAGAAAATGAGAAGGAGTGAGGGATTTGGGTGTGTCAAAGGAAGATAATGGAGAGGACTTGAAAGAATTCTTCTAAAATGAGAATTCTTACTATGCATGTCCATGAATTGTATTTAGGCCATAGGAGAACTTGTACAAGAAAATAAAATATGTCCCACTTCACTACTCTCTAATTTAGCATTTCCTTTAATTGCAAATAGTCCACAAACTACAATAGTGTTAGTAGCAACAATGACTTCATCTCCAACAAACATTGCAGATATTCTTATATCACATTACAGATGTTTCAGATAGCTTGGAATATGATTTATTGTTCACTACTTTGAAATTACAATATTTATTAGACTTCCCTCTATTAAATGCGTTGGTAAAGTAATATAGTTATGTATTATAGTTTCTGTTGGAATTCTCTGCATTTTATTTTAAGCATTTTTTAACCTTATTCTCACAAACGGACTAAGCTTCAGTAGACTGCCAAAGGGATCCATAGCATAAAAAATATAAAACCCTAGCTCTAAGAAGTAAGCTAATTCAGCTTTTTATTAACCTTTATTCTATTCCAAATGTGATAACATTTCTCCATTTTATCTGCCACCATGCATAAAGTTATAAGGGAAATTGCAAAATATTTTTCTACCAAGCTACCTATTTTATATTCAGATTATTTTAGTATTAAGTTCATCTTGTAACATGTTTTAGGCTTTGGAAGATTAGCCTTAATGTTTTTATTTGTCAATATAAATTTATATTAAAATACATATTATTAATACTTATTTCTAACATATTATTTATTATTTTCAGTGCACTGTGCTAAGGATTCACCTCCATTATTGCATTCAATTCAGCAACCTCATGAGCTTAGGTTTAATCATGCATTTGTATTTTTATAGAATAAATCTACCCAAGAGAATGGGGAAAATGAAAAATTGTTAACTAATTTAAGCCCATCCCAGTCCAAAACCAGTCGAAACATCTCAATGAAGTAAAGGTAGAATGATAACTGCATTTACAAATATTTCTTGGTAGGAAAAAAGTATTTTATTCTAATAAATAGAAACATGTTAAGCATAATGTTATTCATATTAATAATGAATATTAAACATTAACATTAAGTATTATATATAAAACATTAACATATTAAACATAAATAAGTAGAAAGTTAGGTTTCATTTTGATCTTAATAATTTAAGAGTAACAACTGGCACAGTGTTCAAATAAGTAGCACCTAGAATTGTGCTAATCACATAGAAAAACAGAAAACCCGAAGGCACAAAAGCCTATCAGTGTTGATGTCCACATTGCTGTTTTCCAAGTATTTGACTACCGTCTCTGAGCAAGATTCTCTACAGATCTTATCAATATTTGTAGCTTCCTGCAATTTGTTTTACTACTCAAAGTTTACGATTAATGGACCTCTCCCTAATAGATTTAACTAAGTATGTCTGCTCTTTCTTTCATTAATTGAGCACATGAAGTATGTGACTCATTCTTAAGTTGAAATACTGCCTTCAGCAAGGATTTGACAATCAATTCAATCAATTATTTCTAAATATATTTGGATTTATTGCTTTCATCTCAGGCTCTTTCTGTATATATGAAAAGTGTTAAGACAGTTTTAAGGAGTGCATGAGCTATACCCACATTCTGGCTTTCCCAACACATGCAGACATGGGAAGGCCCAAAAAGAGGTCAGTGTCCTCTCATTTTCTCTTTCATGCACAAATGTATAAACACACGCAAAGACACAGAGGACAAAACAAGATAAAATGGAGTAAATTTAGATTTTAAAAAATGTAAGATTCAGTTCACTGGTAGCTGTATTATATATCATACATTTTTAGCAACACATGTAAGATTTATGTCTTGAATAATATAAAAAAAGGTTCATCTGCTTGTAAAATGTAAGTCTTATAGTTCAACATAATAGATAAACATCAAAACTAGTATCCTCATTAGGTTGTATAATGGTATATTGCCACTTACTGTTATTTAAATGTCATCCCCATTTCCTTTTTGTAGTGCTGATGTTAACCTTGTAAGCTCTAAATTGTCTGGAAGTTAATGGTCTGTTATATGAGTTTCATAGTTCTTAGTGAAAGAATATTAGATTATATTATGCAGTTTGAAATGTAACTTGATCTCTACCTCATAATCATAAGTAATGACATAGTCTTGGTTGAAATTAGGGACGTTTGCTTTTTCTGCTGATGCTGTCCATAGTATAAATGATAATTTTTATTTTTTTGTTTTAAATTGACAAATATGTTTATTTGTCCATTCATTACACCCAAGTTTATGAGGGTTAGAAAAGAGAACAAATATAAGCATATAAGAGTACAGTGTACTTCTTGAAAATCAAACTTTGAAATTTATCTTATTAAAGTTGGTAAATTCAGAAGCATTATATTCTGTCAGCACCCACATATACCCTTGTCTGGCTTTGAGAGAGTTTTATTTTTTTAATTTTATAAGAGTTAAATTTGAATTGGAGCTAATGTAACTGACAAGAGGGAAATAGAAGCAATTGGCTTGCACTAAACAAGTTTGAATGGTTGTTAATGTGAATGACTTTCAGGCAGTGAATGTCAGAGAACAGTAGATTACTTTCTTTACCTCGGGCATTTTAAACCATCTCCTGTGGTAGGATTAACATAATTTCTCTCTCTCTTTCTTGAATCTAGGAAGCAAAGTAATTGGAGTCTGGTAATTTTGGCCTGTGGGTGATGAAGATAAATCATAACAAGCTATGGAATACACATTGACAATTCACATAGGGCTACTAGAACATGAACTTTCAGTAATGCATTAAACAAATATTGTTTCTTTCTGATTTATATTCAAGAAAGCCACAGAACTGTTAATTATGAATGCAGTTATCGTTTGTTATTTTTGACTAAATTCACATGCAAAACAAATTGTTTCAAAATATAAGCTATTGTGTTCTTAAACATGGGCTAAGAAGTTGTATCTTTTATATGATTTTGAGTGATCATATTTGTTTAACCGAAATTATTTGAGATTTTAAAAGAATAGAGGTGGAAGAGAATACAAGACCATCTGGTCTAGCCCCTCTCCTTAAGGCTTATAAATGTATACATCATCTTGAGCAGATGGAGGTGTACTCACCTAAAATTTTATACAAATATAGGTTCTACAGTTCCATTCAATATCTTATTCTTGAATTTGGTCACTAAAGCATTAAAGGATCCTATTTTATATTCAGATTATTTTAGTATTAAGTTCATCTTGTAACATGTTTTAGGCTTTGGAAGATTAGCCTTAATGTTTTTATTTGTCAATATAAATTTATATTAAAATACATATTATTAATACTTATTTCTAACATATTATTTATTATTTGCAGTGCACTGTGCTAAGGATTCACCTCCATTATTACATTCAATTTAGCAACCTCATGAGCTTAGGTTTTGTTGTCTCCATTACAGATTTAGGAAAGCAAGAGTAAGGAAAGTTAAGTAATGTGGCCAAGCACATGGCTAATGAAAAGAGTTGCTATAACTTAAATTTCTGGACTAAACTTTTTCCTACTGATCTACCTCCTCAGTGTTAAGAGTGCAAACTCCTTCTCTCTTAGGGCAAAATTTCTGTCACTTTGTTGTTCATCCACTTTGTATCATCTTATAGTCCTCTTTTCTCAGCTAATGGGAGTATATCTCGTGTTTTTGAAACTTTTGTTCATTATCATCCATACCAGCCATTTTAGAATTTGTTTCCTAATGTCTTCTGATGAAATTTTTAATACCACAAATATGCTGTGTATCTGTTTATGTATGTGTATAAAAAGAGTAGTATTTTTTGTCCCCTCTAAGAATCAGTTTCCCCCTTGGTACTGATATTGCTCCCTTTTAGAATGAATGTAGTTATCACTATTACTGTACATTTTTGATTGCATAAGTACATAATTATTTTTACTTAATATGAAATGTTAATTTGTTAGAGTATGAAAATATTAAAATATCAACAGTAATTGTCCTCTTTTTAAGTTACGTGAGCTTTCCAATGCCCTGAAATGAGAATAATTTTGAAGAAGAATATAGATATCAAGATATAAATGAAGTTTAATTCTTTTATAACAATATGTAATTTGTGCTACTAAAGAAACCTCAGGATGTAAGTAAACATAATCCTGCCCATTTTACCTGTTTTTAGACCTTTTGCTAAATTTTTTGTTTATCCAAATATATGCCATCTTACCATAAATCTGTATTCCTCTCTGTTTTGACATCACAATCTATTGCCATGGAAGTGATTGATAGCTTACATTTATCTTCATGTCTTCAGAGCAGGTTCATAAGGAGACTGTCTGGAAGAAATAGACTTTATTGGTACCAGCACAAGCAGACTTTTAGAGGTCCTGTACAAGTTTACGTCCATCTGTATTTTTTTTTTAAATACAAGAGTTGCAAATTGGTACTTTAGAAAGTGTGAAGACTTTGCTTTTCATTCTGTAATTTCCATTCAAAAACCATATTTGATTATGATTCTTTCTAAAATATTCAAATAATGGGTTTTCCACAACTTTCATACTTTAAATATAAAATGAGCTTACAACCCGTGAGTAGGAAACTGTGGTAATGGAACATATTCAGCTTTATCATGTTATGCAGAAATACAGCAGTTAGGAATGAAACCTCATTGATAGGTTCTTTTACTGGGAAATAAACCAGAAGGTGATGAAAATCACTTGGCATTTTTATATGTAGTTTGTAGAAAGTTCCTAGTCTGGGGCTTTGATCTACTTCATTGGATCAAAAACATAATAAATTGAATCTTGAAACTTGCTATATCCTTTTGGAATTACACCTAATATTGAATTATTCATGTAGATGAAACTGATCATTTAGGTTTCAGAATTTCTTTTTTTCTGTAATGGTTCCAGTTCTTTTTTGCATGAAGTTTTTTGTTGTTGTTGTTTTATACTGAATTTTACAACCCTTCAGATATAAAAGAGGCATTTCTGTACTGTCTCTTGTCACTCAAAACTAATTTTGATTTCATTGACTACCCCATATATGTTCAGAAACTAAAATAATTTCAATATAGTCAATTAATTAAGTGAAGGATTTTTGACCCCTACAATGATTTTGATCTGTATTAGTCTTGAGGAGGTAAGAACTTCAAAAATTATTACCTGTGAGGGAGCCCATGACAACCATCACATTTTCATGTACATACAGAAAAGAATGATACTGTATATAGGAGTAAAGTAGAGGAATTAAACAAGCTTCCTATTCAAATGAAGATTTTTTAAAAAGCTATAACTATTAACTGTTTGATGAAGGTTTTGAAAGGAAACGTGAAGTGGCCACTGTGCAGATATGGTTTGAGTGACTTAACGGGTCAAGTATTTGACAACAGTAATGCTTCCTGTGGTTTTTATATGAAGGAAAAAATGAAAAATAGGAAACAGAAACCAGAAGTTTATGTAAACCTACATAAATTAACTCTTAAATGATTTATTTTATTTTGAAGTGTCTGTGTATTGTGGATGAACCAAACGTTCAGACTTTCTTCCAGTGCTCTTGGCCCTCCTCTATTAAATGTGTGTCTTGTTCCCTTTCCAGCGTACATACAGCTCAGTCAGTAGGAACTAGACAGAGAAGCTGTTCACTTAAAAAGTTGTCATTTCCTTATAGATACTTTCTTTTCTTTATTATTATACTTTAAGTTCTAGGGTACATGTGCACAACGCGCAGGTTTGTTACATATGTATACATGTGCCATGTTGGTGTTCTGCACCCATTAACTCATCATTTACATTAGGTATTTCTCCTAATGCCTTCACTCCCCCCTGCCCCCACCCCACGACAGGCCCCAGTGTGTGATGTTCCTCTCCCTGTGTCCAAGTGTTCTCATTGTTCGATTCCCACCTATGAGTGAGAACTTGCAGCGTTTGGTTTTCTGTCCTTGTGATGTAGAAAGCTGAAACTGGATCCCTTCCTTACACCTTATACAAAAATTAATTCAAGATGGATTAAAGACTTAAATGTTAGACCTAAAACCATAAAAACCCTAGGAGAAAACCTAGGCAATACCATTCAGGACATAGGCATGGGCAAGGACTTCATGTCTAAAACACCAAAAGCAATGGCAACAAAAGCCAAAATTGACAAATGGGATCTAATTAAACTAAAGAGCTTCTGCACAGCTAAAGAAACTACCATCAAAGTGAACAGGCAACCCACAGAATGGGAGAAAATTTTTGCAATCTACCCATCTGACAAAGGGCTAATATCCAGAATCTACAAAGAACTTAAACAGATTTACAAGAAAAAATCAACCCCATCAAAAAGTGGGTGAAGGATATGAACAGACGCTTCTCAAAAGAAGACATTTATGCAGCCAGTAGACACATGAAAAAATGTTCATCATCACTGGCCATCAGAGAAATGCAAATCAAAACCAAAATGAGATACCATCTCACACCAGTTAGAATGGCAATCCTTATAGATACTTTAAATATTATTTTTCTTGAGTATTTATATTTAATGCAACTGGAAAAGAAATAAACTTAGAAATTTAAATGACTGTGGAATGTTTTTAACCATTCACAAGCTGTATAATAATCCATAATAATCCAAAACAAATATCAAGTCACTTTAGTTTTAGAGAAATGTTATTCTTTATAGGTTTGTGGTTTATTTAGTCAACTGTGATGTGCTTCATAATACTGATATAAATATATGTTTAAAAAGATAGTTAAAAATAATCTCATGTATATGTTTTAAGAAATGAGATAATCCTGAGAGTCTTAAAGTATCTTTCCCATTTAAGAAAAAAGTAGAAGCAAGTATTAAAAGGATGCAGTAGTGTTGAAAGACAGTTTATGAAAAATCAATAGCCTATGCTCAGACATGAAAGCTTATTAATTCTCTAGTGGAGTCTGGAACAACTTCCTGTGATCAGACACATTAGTCTCCCTGAAGCAAAAGCAAGAGGGATTATTAAATACTATAAACTGCCTCATCATAGTTCAGAATTTGAATAAACTTTTGGTTTTCAGAGCTTTTATTCCTGATGTTGGACAAATCATGATGGATCTGTAGTAATTCATTTGCATTCTTACGATAAGTTATTATTATACCCATTTTAAAGGCATAGAAACCGAAAGAAAAAGGAGTTGGGTAACTTCTTTTGGGTCACACAGTTATTAAAAGGACTCAGGCAGTCTGACTTTACAAATCGTGTTCTTAAACATGATGCTATACTGCCAGTGTGACAGACATGCATGTATATATACATACAGACACATGTATAAATAAGCATTTAGAACTATTTAGAAGTGGATCCCAAAACTTCTATACATTTATATAATTGCTTTAAATAAAGGTTATTTTCTTAAATAACGATTGTATATTCCTCTCATCTTTTTGTTGCCAGTATGATATGGTTTGGCTCTGTGTCCTCACTGAAATCTCATTGTGAATTGTAATCCCCTCATGTAGGAGGAAGGGCCTGGTGGGAGTTGATTGAATCATGGGGGTGGACTTCCCCATTGCTGTTCTTGTGATAGTAAGTTCTTACAAGATCTGGTTGCTTGTAAGCACATGGCACTTCCACCTTCACTGTCTCTCTCTCTCTCTTGCTCCACCATGGTTAAATGTGCTTACTTCCCCTTCACCTTCTGCCATGATTATAAGTTTCCTGAGGCCTCCAAGCCATGCTTCCTGTTAAGCCTATGCAACTGTGAGTCCATTAAACCTCTTTCCTTGATTAAATTACTGAGTCTCAGGTAGTTCTTTATAGCAATGTGAGAATGGACAAATACCTAGTATGTATTATGCTTTTTATTCTCCAGATTATTATCAAAGCTTGTATTTAGGTGGATATTTAAGAAATTCCATATTTTTTGTTTTTATTTCAGGTCTAATTTATAAAATATTAGCTTATATTGGGAATTTCAACTTTATGACATATAGTTTAAAGAATACATAGATGACCAAACACAAACACTCATGGTAAATCATGAGAAAAAAATGTAGTCAAAACTATAAAATTTAAGTTGTAAGAAACTTGCAATAATTGCTACATCAGCACAGAACTTACGTTTCTTAAACTTGGTGTTTGTACCCTGGAATGGATAGGTGGACAGCAGAATTATGTTTACTGGTGTTCACCACATAAGTTAGGAATGCTTCCCAATATTTTTATTACTGATCTTGCACTTTTTAATTTATCCAAACTTTTGTGACTCTTTGGAGCAATGACTGATACCACATTTGAACCAGGTATATACTAGAGCTTGAAACATCTCATAACACTAGAAAATAAGGAAGGTATCAAAGCTTACTAAAGTTCTGTCACAAGAATTGAGGAGCCAGCTTGAAATCACTACCACTAGCCAGTCTGAGGTAAAATAAAAAGATTGAAACAAAGGAAGTAACTGTAATGGACTGAATCACATAAAATATATTTTAAAATTCTTAATATTAGGTTGGTGCAAAAGTAATTGCAGGTTTTGCCATTAATTTCAATGGCAAAACCTGCAGTTACTTTTACACCAATCTATAGATTATAAAATTGATATCGCTGATAATCTTTGGATGATAGTAGGAAACCAACATATTCTGAAACCTATAGGGAAAGAAATATTTAACACGCCTTTCCTAAATTAACCGTAACTCAAGATAACTAAATAGCTGAAGAGTGAAGCCTCCCTGTATTTATTCCAACTAATGAATAAAGACAAAATGGTAGAATTATAATATTTCCACTGTGCAAAACTTAATAAAATGGATTTAGGTGATGATTTTAATGGCTGTTAATATTCCAAAAAATGGAGCACTGAATATTCTGAGCCTCCTAATAGAAGTATACGACACCTACGAAATATTTTTGCCAAAAATATTCAAGTCTGAATCTTATCAAACTTCTAGTATAACTACCAGTTTACAGGATATTCTGGGCACTGAGAGATGTGTGAATAATACTAAGCAAAGAAATCTAGAATGTAGGACTTTCTATTATATAATGTATAAATATTGCTAGGATGTACTAATACTCTAGTACTAATATTCAGGTTTCTTTAATCACCCAAGTGCTGTGTGAGAATGGGAGAGGAGAGAAAGGACTTACAGATTAAAGAGACTTAAAAGGCTTATCAACCAAAACACAATGTGTGGACATTATTCAGATCCAAATTTGAACAAATCAACTAATATAGTTAATGAATCTAGGTACATGTGGGTTTGTTACATTCTTCTATCTACTTTTCTGTATGTTTAATATTTTCCAAAGTAAACATAAAAATGGAATATAGGTTTGTACCTCTACCTGTATTTTCATCTTTCATCACTATGTAAGTAACAAATTATGAGAATTTATAAAAGCTGGAAATTGGGTTATCATTTTCATTATTTTTGAAATTATCTGTAATTGCATTTTATTTCCTCTTTGATGAAGTAATTCCTTAGGCGAGCCATTAAAAAAAATCTCCCATTGGTTTTGACTGTTGTATTACATGTGATCAAAAATGAGGTAGTGTAATTTGTGCGTTTTTGAAAATTTTTAGTCCTCACTATCCAGGTTAATGTTGATTTTTTTGTTGTTGTTTACAAAGATATATAGACTATTAAAGAAGAAATTTTTATCTAAAATATGGTAGTTTACCATCATTAAACCTTCTTTGTCATTATATTGCTAAAGTCAGCGAGATCATTTTAGGTCGCAGTGATTTTTTTACAGATACTAATGGCTGACACCAATAAAACTGAATTTTGCTCAATTTTTTTCCTAATTTTTTTGCTATTGCCATTCTGATGCTATATGCTTCAGTAGAGATTCATATTTGTTATGCCTTCATTATGAATTGGATTTTCTCTTTTGTCAATATACAAATTCTCAATTTTAATTATTAATATATATCAATTATTTATTAACAGATAAGATGTGACATGCAACTGAGATCACTACATTATTCATAACAATTATGACTCTTAATGTTAAGTCTTAGGAAATAAACCTGTCTTAGCTTTTTCTATCCTTCTTCTTTAATTTTTCTGTCACAATCATGGCCTGCTCTAATCAGAAATCAATTCTTAGCTAAAGAATACATGCTTCTGAATTCCTAAGCTTCCATCATTATTATTGACAGTATTTGTGGAGTTTTACTTTTTTCTTGGGACCATGGAGAGTGAAGCACATTTTGATAAATGGAGGTCTGAACTATACCTTTATACTGGATAGTATAAAAGCCTTTTTAGCTATTTTAATATTTCAGGGGAAAAGACCATTTTGTCTTGGGAAAATTGAATGAACGAATTTTCCATAAAATGAAATGATTAACAAAATCTTGCTGAATTTCATGTTTTTATTTAGCAGGTATTGTATCTAAAACGTTGTCATTGTCTGTCAGAACAGTGTTATAATGCCTTTATCTTAAATTCTTTATAAACTAGCTGATTCTTGAAGGGGAGGGCAGTATATTTGCTTACATTCATTGTTAATTTGAAAGATGGATTTCAAACTGTAGAGCTGCCGTGAAAAATATAATGCTAATTGTAGTTTGAAAAGCCCAGACACCTTCTGATAGTACAGTTTTACACCCAAGTAATTTAAATCAAAATCTGGAAAACACTTTTTTTTCTTTTGATAGCATATATGTAATATGCCTTAATTAATAGGAAAATCCACATGCTGGAGAATGGTGAACATGATTAAATAGATTAAATTACTTTTCTTATACTATGCATTAATAGCTTTCTCAACCATGTCCCAGCGGCTGCAGCACATTGTGCTATACCTTACTGAGGAAATCGCCTGATTTTTTTTTTTAATCAGTCTTCACTATCTTGCCATTTTTTACCATTATCATTCTAACTTAGTGAAATCCTGGTTTTCTCAAGTGTCTAGTCTTTCTTTGATTTTGATTTCACATATCATACACATCAGTTATTTATATTTTATCTTGTTAATCAACTAATTTCTTCACATATTTTATTTTTCTTCCCAAACACATTTTTGTTCAACTTGAAGGCAAAAAGTATCCTTGGTTCTGGATCATTTTCCTCATGGTTCTCAGTTGTAGAGAGGTGGAAGACACATGACAAATTCTAGTTTAACTGGATTCTGTAATTTAAAAAAAGAGGTGTTACAGAGTCAGTCCTGCAGATGTTTGAGTTCCAGACCCTTCCAGGCAGGTCACCAGGTACTGCCTCTAGACTTAGATGATGTCCCCTGATAATTCTGTCACTCTTCTTCCGCAAGTTGCTCCCCCTTTGTGAGTCACATCATATAAATGATATTATTTTAATACTTTCTCTGTCACGATCTGTCCACTCTAAGCAGACCTTATTTATTTTTAATCACCCTTTTGCCACGTGGGTCTGCTTTTTCTCATTCCTTTTCACTTTATCACCGTCTTAGGGGACTTAACTAGCCAAATGGATAACCCATTTCCTTGTTTTTCTGTTTCCATGAGCACCCACACACTGCTCAGACCCTTTGATTTCTAGCATTAAACTTATCAATTCAACCTCTTCCTCCTCACTACATTGATTTTTTTTTTTTCCTACCCAGCCTCATTGCAAAACCCAATTCCTCAGTCTCTCTAAGTTTTTCTCCTTTCCCTACCCTGTCAGGATCTGTTCTTGGACTATTTCACCAGTGTACTCACTCCAGCTAGGGTGCCTCTCCCCTGATATCCCTCGTTTTGTCAGACTTCATTGAATAAATCCCACAATCAATGTGACCTGAAGTCCTGTCACTGTGCTCATTGGTTCTAGTAGACATCTAGTTTACCATCAGTACTTTGGATTCATCTCTTTCCACTTCTTATTTCTGAGAGCAGCTGGTGGCTCTGACGACGTCCCATTCTTTAAAACATCTAACCATTCTCTTAACTCTCAGCTACAAATCTTCCCTTTGATTTTAGTGAGAAAAATCAACGGCATTTAATGTTAACTCCACGATTACTGTTTCTTTCCTCAACAAAACATTTTTTAGAATGTCCTCCCTTCTACCTTCTTCCTGACCTTGTGGCACTTACATCCTATGCCTTTTCAGAGATAATAGCCCCTTCCTAGGTCTCCTTAATCTTTGGTGCTCTGGTCTCTGCAGGGACCTTTTCCATCAAACAATTCATCTTGAAATTTTTATCTTCATTAAAGCAGCCACAAATATTCATATTCTTAAATCTCATCAAGAAAAAAAAACCCTTTAATTTGACCCCAGTTTCCCTGATTATACTCTATTTTATTTTTTCTTCATTAGTGAAAGTTTCAAAGAATTGCCTTTTTATCATTCTTGCCTCTATAGTATTTACTCATTAATCATCTGTTATTCTGTTTCCTTGATCACTCCATTCAAACTTCTTTTTTAGAAGTTTGTAATAACCTTCTAGTAGTTAAATCTAATTTTCCTAAGATACCACGTTCTCTACAGTGGAAGCCTTTGTGTAACGTAAAAGAAGCATAGATTTATAGAATCTTTATTTGAATGTTACTTATATTTATGCTACCTTCTGACAAATAGGTGTGTATATGTGTGTGTGCACACTTTTTTTTTTAAATAACTATCTGATCTGCAGTTTTCATCTATGAAGAATTTATGGTCTTTCCTACTACTTCTTACAGTTGTATGTTTAACTATGTATGGGATCTCTTACCATTTTTAGTGCCTCATATTTAGTAATAATCTACTAAAGAGATGTTTAAAGCTATATAGATAAAGATTAAGGACTGTCTTTAAGAATGCCTTAATTTTTCTCCCCCTTTCTCTCCTACCCTTGACTTAATTTTTTGTGGCAATATACATTCATAAAGTAAAATCTGATAGAGCAATCATATGGGATTTTAAAAATATAGTTCCAAGTACATTACTAATGGACAAAAGGAAAGCTGAAATCCATAAAATGGGGTAAAAAAAACTCCTCCTCCCTTTTTTGAATTTTTAAATTTTTTATTTATCTTGAAATTCTGGTTTAATTTGCAACAGATCTAGAAATTCAAGTCAATTTAACAAACATTTGTTGAATTCAGTAAGGCTTCACAGCCTGAAATATCAATCAAAATTACTTTTTTTTACCTTATATTCCTTTAATATTTTGTTTTAGTCCTACAATCCCCTTGTAACATGATATGCTATATTTGAGTTATTGTCAGTAATAATAACTGACATTTTAAACCATAATTGTCTTTGCCAAATACTATGCATGCTAATCACCTTACATACTTTGACTAATCTTTTATAAAAACATGAAACCCAAAAAAGAACATTTTCATCCTCCTATAATGATGAGTAACACAGAATGTGTAAATAAATTTCCCCAGGTCTGTAGATAGAGCCAGGATTTGACATTAAATCTGTCTTTTTCATAGCGTTGCCCTTCCCTTCTTCAGTAGTTTTATACTTAGACACTTGGGACACCTCAAGGAAAATGCGATATCCAGGAGGAAAGGGATAAACAGATGTTTATATAATATTATAACAGGGCACATTTTCAAAGCATGAATAGCAGTCAGCTGTTTGAAAGTGTCAAGGAAGCAGAGAAGTCTTGACAGAAGGCGTAACATTTGGAATGCCTCTAAAAAGATGAGCAGGGAAGGCCGGGGAGGGAAATGATGGCATATTCCCGAGTGAGGGAACAGTGAGTTCAAAGTGTGGGCCCTTCAGGGTCTGCTGAGGCTAGAATGTAGGACATATACCAATTTATTAGGTTTTACTTGTTTGTTTCATAAACAATGGTAGAGTTATATACCTCCTCTCTTGAATCCAGTTTTGTTGGAACTGTTCATTTATTTAGCCTATTGACCACTATGTATTTGTGTGAGTCAAAAGGAATAAAATCAGAAATGATTTTATGTGATATTAAAAGCTTTAAAAAGCAATACTAAGCCCAGTGCAGTAATTATAGATCTGTGACCCCACCCCCACTCTTACCCCTGGAGTTTTGAGTCTGGTTTACTGCTATATTGATTGTAGCTAAAATCACAACCAGATCCGCTAAACTTCTTGGCATTCCTTTTAACCCAAATTGATACTAATGAATGTCTTAAGACTACATTGTGCCTCCAGCTCATGAGCAAACATTATGTCTGTTTCATCATCCAGTAGAATGATAAGATTCATTTAGGGTTATTGAGGAAGATTCTGTAATTGTAATGAAATCCTGGCATGTTGTAACTCTCAGAACACTGTTCCCCATAGTGAACATCTACAATTAGTTGGAAGTAATCTCAGTTCTAAAGGCCTTCAGCAGTGACTACCTCTTCTCTTACCTATCATTTGCATGCACATAAATCCAATGCTGATTTAGTTTGGCAGGAACAAGGAGGAAGAGAGGAGTGATGAGAGCAATATGAATGGGCTTCCATATATCAAAATAGAAAGTTATATTACAAACATTATATACAGCTTCCATTTATTGAGACCTTACCAAGTGCTAGGTTCTTTACCAAGTACTCTGCATGCAGACCTTATCTATTTTAATTCTCACAACTACCCTGTGATGTATGTATTATTAAGCCCATTGAAAATAAATCAAGAAATAACCTTAGCAAGATTAGGTGTCACACAGTGACTACTAGATTAGAACTGGACTATATGCCTATCTAATTCCAAAGCTGTCTAATGCATGTTAGCAACATTACATTGTGACTGCAATATAACAACTATTCAAAAGTTAAAATATTTTTAAGTCAGACAAATCTAAAACACCATTTTAGTACATTTCAGGTTTAATATATTTATTCTGTTTTAGAATTATCAATATTATTATTATTTCATTAACCATGATATGCCATATTTTCTTTATTATTATTATTATTATACTTTAAGTTCTAGGGTACATGTGCACAATGTGCAGGTTTGTTACATATGTATACATGTGCCATGTTGGTGTGCTGTACCTGTTAACTGGTCATTTACATTAGGGCTATCCCTCCCCCCTCCCCCCACCCCACGACAGGCCCCCGTGTGTGATGTTCCCCACCCTGTGTCCAAGTATTTCCGTAAAGATTTTCTTATTCAATGGCAGTCTACACCATTATATCAAGCAGACTGATTTGGTTCATGGTTCTCTTTGATTAAAATGTATCAGTCATTTATGTAAGATATCGTCAATGAATTCCCCTTGAAATCATGGAAACAGGTAATTAAATTCTGTCATTTTCCCAAACTTTGGCTTTGTTCTTTTCCTGGAAAGGCATAATATGATCCTAGAATAAACCAAGTCTCATTCCCCCAAGGCTAATTAACATGCAAATAAATTTTCTATACACTAGTGTTTTTACTAAGTAAATCATTGTAGCTGGACATATCATTTTTAAGCAGAAATTTTTTTTATTTTTGTATTTTGATAACTCTAAAATGTTTTAAAAGTTTGCAAAGGTAAGAAATGAAAGGCTAATGTATTCTTTTTGTGCAATCAGCCAGTCCTTGGTTTCTGCTCGGATTGGTATATTGAAGAAATGCTAATAGTATATCTGTAACCTGTTAAGGAATATCAAGTCTCTTCAGGAAAGGAATAATAAAATGCTAATGATCAGCATTAACTGTCTGAATTGGAAGGGATTATAGAGGAACATTTCTGTCCTTTTCCTGTCAAAAGAGGATCACCTTCTACAATAATCCCAACCCAGCCATTACTTATACCTTCCAAATTCATGCTGTAGTAGACATTCTTTGAGGGAAGAAGTATATATTATTATTATTACTATCTGGAATTTCATAATGCTTTGCATAGCATTTTACATAATATATGCTAAGTACATTTTTCAATGAATATTTTAAAATTCCAATAATCAGGAATTCTCTACCTCACAAAGCAACCCTTTTTATTTTTAGGCAGCATCTACCTACTTAAGTAAAATGTATTCTCCTCATCCTTCTGGTACCAAATAGCAAAACTCTGATTCTTCTACCATGATGGCCAGCACATACTCATCATTCAAATAAGTTCATCAGTGCCCCTCTTAATATATGACATAGACAAGTGAACTTCACATGCTGTGGTTCAACCAAATATGGGCTGTGATTGTTTTTCACCTCCCTTTTTCTGGTCACTAAGATTATATTCTTGGCAGCCTTATCTTAGCTCAAGTTTAGCAGTCAACTCAAATTCTTCTGTGGTTTTTTTTTCTCCATCACATTACTATCATACAAATTTACCTTTTAACCTTCTCCACAATAAGAAAGAATCTGTACATTTTAAGATTACTGAAACAGGGGAGAAAATAGAGCAGGCAGAAAAGCCTTTGCTTTATTGGTTGGAGAGAAGGAAAGGAGACACTTGTAAACTTATATTAATCATTTTTGGTCCATCAGATACTTTATTTTGCAGAGCACTTCCTCACTTCTCAGTTTTTATTGTTTTGTTTTATCCTGTGTTGTTTTCGTATGATCTATTGTTGAGCCAGGGTATCCTCATATGTACTTGTGTGATAGAGTTTTAAAAACATTTGCAGCAATCTGTGGCCAACCCTCACATCAATGACATGCTGCTGATAGGAAGAAGTCTCTGTATGAGTATTGAAAACACTGAGATTTACTTATTGGATGCATTTTATTTATATGGTTTGATTCTTATTTTTAATGATTTTTTTTCTATTTTACAATTTTAAGGGTAAAAAATGTATAAATATTTGGAAATAGCTACATCCATGGAAGAGAGACACTGATGAATGAGTTTGAATATGAAAATCTGATGGTCTATCCTGAAAGAAGAATTAAAGTTTTGCTATTTAGTACCAAAGGATGATTAATAGTTTTTCTGAAACCATAAAATGCTCCTGGTATCTTCTAATTCCAAGTTAAAAAAACTCTGTAAAATGTTATTGTAGCTATTTAGCTTTAAGCAGATTATTATTTTACCAGAATATTTAAACATTTCTAAATATTGTCATCTTTATTCATAAATGTTTCCAATATCTGTTCATATAATCTCTGTATAAATTTCACATACTATACAGCATGCATTTATATATGGTAACTAATAATATTTACTACTTAGAACACAGTTAGAAATGAATGCAATATTCATTTTGTACAAAGACAATATCTCAGAAGATAACAGGAGAGCAAACTGAGGTAGAAGAATGAGCTAATTAGATTGGAATAAGAGAAATGTTCCCACTTTAGTTCTCCAGTGTCTGTTTTACAGACTATTCATTTATATTAAAACATGTTTCTAAGTGAAGCAATTATATGATACTTACAGATTTTGCAAACAAGATGTGAAATTGTTGAGTATTATACACTGCTCCACAGAATGATTTTAAAGTATTAATTTTGTACCTTGACATGGTGTCTTATGTGATATTTGCAGATTAGAATGCAAATAATAAAGTTTTGCCAAATTGGTATGTATATATATATAAACAGTTTTAAAACAGTATCGTAGGCTGGGCACGGTGGCTCATGCCTGTAATCCCAGCACTTTGGGAGGTTGAGGTGGGCGGATCACGAGGTCAGGAAATCAAACATGGTGAAACCCCATGTCTACTAAAACTACAAAAATTAGCTGGGCGTGGTGGTGTGTGCCTGAAATCCCAGCTACTCGGAAGGCTGAGGCAGGAGAATCGCTTGAACCCAGGAGGCAGAGGTTGCAGTGAACCAAGATCATGCCACAGCACTCCAGCCTGGTGACAGAGCGAGACTCCATCACAAAACACACACACACACACACACACACACACACACACATAAACACACACACACATAAACACACACACAAACAGTATGGTAAAATACAATACCAACAAGCAACAAATTAGGTAAAGAAGTACATTGGAGTTTTGAATTTTAAAATCAGGTTTATTGAAATATATAAAGTAAAATTGATCATGTTAGTATAAATGAGTTTTCATAAATACAGAACATTTTTATTACCCCAAAAAATATTCCTTCATGCCCCTTTGTAGTCAAATATCAATGTCACTAGCCTTTTTCTCTCCCATCCTGCAGTGCCACTGCCAGAAAGGGATTGAACCACTAACCCTGGATCTGCTGGAAGGCCCTGATTTGGCTTATCTAGGGAAAGGGCTGCTTCTAGACCCTTCAACCCCACTTAGCTGTCTAGGGTACTACACCTGACCCAGATGTAAGTGAGATTGCATTTGTACAGAGAAAGATGGAGCTGCCATCAAACCAAATGGAGGAAGAAGCATTTTCCAGAATATAGCTGCTGTTCCCTAAGCAGAGACTTGGAGTCCTGGGAACATGAAGTAATGGGTGCCCACATTATAGTAATTTGATAAAAATCAGTTAATAACTTTCAGTGAGATAGTTAAAAATCATTTTTTAAGATAGAAATGACTTCTTAATATGCTAACTGTAAGATACGTATGTTGTAAGATAATAGAATACACATTATACCTAATGTAATAGAAAATATTCAAGGCATAAATATAATCTGAAAAAGCTTATGGTTAATTTTTTTAGTAAGTAATCTTTTTTGATCATTTTTAACTCCTCAAAACAATACACTTGGCACTGTTGTTTTTAAATCTCAAGAATAAGGACTCAATTATTTCTTCAATTTGTTTTCTTCATATTCTGAATTTCACCTATATATATTTATTTTTTCATGGGGGAGTACACAATAATTCAGTTTTGAAATAAATTAAAATAAACTCAGATCCCTTTGTAAATGAAGGAGCATTAATGTCTTTATTAAACCACATTATTGAAGCAAGATTGACATGTAAAAGCTGTACATTTTAATATACACAACTTTATGAGTTTGGACATAAGAATATACTCATGTACCCATCACCACAATCTATACCATAAATCTCTCCATCAGCTCCACAAGTTTTCTCTCACCATCTACATTATTATTATTATTATTACGTGTGTGTCTGTGTGTGTGTGCGTGTGATAGGAACACAAGAACTACCCTCTTAACAAATTTTTAAGGAACAGTAGTATTACAAATTCACCTCTAGCTTTCTTGAAAGGCAGTGCCTTTTAATTGTTTATGCCTTCATTTCATTAGGAGTTTCTTCTGTCTAAAAGCTTATTCTGATTGATTTTCCCCTAAGCAGCCTAAAACAATTGAAAAATCTTGTTATTGTGTAGCTGTTGGAAAGTCAACTTTGTTTTAAACACCACATCTGACAGTTAAAATTTACTGTCACCACAGTATTGCCCTTCCTGAGAGAGATTTGTTGTTGATTTCCTCCCTAATTTTGGGTCACATGGTAGAGAAGCATTGAACATATGTTATTGTGACAAAATCCACACATGGATATTTATGAAACTATAGAAACCTTTTGCAGTTCTCCAGAAACCTGTGATGATAACATTCTAGTTATCTTTGGTTATATTTTTGGTGCAATATATGCATTTATTCAGTACTATTAAATACCTACTTTGTGGCAAGTATAATTTAAATACTGAGAACTCAGTAGTAAACAAAGTCCTTGTCTTCACAGAATTGTATATTGGAGAACAAGCACTACACAATAATTATATAAGAATGCCATGTGAATTTTAAGTGCTATTGAAAAAAACAGTGCTAGGTGAGGGAATGGAAAATGATGGCAAGATCTTGTTTTGAGAAAGAAGATAAAGTGGTCAGAAACATCAGTCCTCTCTGAGGTGATTACTGAAGTGAAAAAGATAAGAAAGAAGCCATGTGACTCTCTGGGGGAGGAATGTTCCAGCAGAGTAAACAACATGCATTAGACCTGCCATGGGCAATATTTGATGCAGTAGGGCAAGGCAACTCGAAGTGTGCTCACCATGTTGATCATTTATTACAAATATACAACAAGATTTAAAGCAATGTAATGTAATATTTGAATACATTGAACTGGCAATTGATATGAGTTGCATGTCTTTTTTATTTCATTATTTGGTAAGTTATTTTTATTGTATTTTACAAAAGTTTAGGCTCACACTCAATTCAGGGAAGGGGCTTGTCCTTCACTATAGATAATCTGAGAAGCATCATGTTTGAGGAAGGGAAGAGGGCCACCTGGGTGAGTTAGGAAAGAGAAGACCTTGGTTCACTTAG
The DNA here is from genome assembly GCF_000001405.40 of Homo sapiens. Lineage (NCBI taxonomy): Eukaryota > Metazoa > Chordata > Mammalia > Primates > Hominidae > Homo > Homo sapiens. The sequence goes on along the minus strand of NT_187556.1, from coordinate 493,441 downwards.
CTGTGGTGGGACAATGAGGATATTCTCTTCTGAATGCAAAAAGAATCAAGCTGGGCTGCTAAAAGTGAGAATGGGATGAAAAGTAATTAAGAGAGGAGATATAAAATAGAGTAAATAGTTCAAGGAAGTAGAGTTTCCTGACTGTGGGGAGCACACACCTCAGGTTTGTAGTCAAAAATTGAATGTGAACTAGTCATTATAGTTATACGTTTGTCATTGTTGTTAAATCCAGCCACTTTCAGCTGTTTTATTACAAGTGCAGAGTAGGCAGAGGATAAAATTTAACTCAGATTTGGGTTTCTCCAGCAAAATATTAAGAGGGGAAAAAATAGCTGAGAGTTTATAAAAGGATGAGATTAGAATGATTCACTTGGAATCTAAGCTGGATAAAGAGTGAAGTGAGGACAGGGGATGGCCAATGAAAGGCCAGCAGACTAGAAGTGCCAATGAGGCCAGTGAATCCCTGAATGGGAGCACTAGAGCCCATGAGCTGAAAGGTAAGGGCAATAACTCTGTGAAAGGGATGCCCAAATTGGTGTTTGGAAATGGTGCAATTATTGGTAATGACTGGGGTGGAAAAGAAGTCATCTCATTGTGGTAATATTCTAAAACACTAATAGAAAGCCTCATTTTCAGACTTAATGCAGGTCACAGTAGTATTATTATAGTACCATGTTTTAGATGAAATTAGTTACCACCAGAAATAAAACATTCATGTATTATGATATTTAGCATTTCAAATCGGATAATTACAAAGGTTTTCAAGTGTTTTTCTTAAGTGAATGTATAGTTCCCTTCCTTTTCTATATATGGTGAGAGGTGAACTTCTTTGGAGAGGAATATGTGGGATGAGTCAAAGTACTGGGAGAATGGAAAGGGTGGGGAGTTGCTGAGTTATTATATTAGTGTCTGCTATCTTGTAGTTCAATGTCAATCTTTTGCTGTTGCCTTTAGCCTCTCTTCTGCCTGGAAGGTGAAAAGAAGGCATTTATGGAGAGATCTACATTATAGAAGAGAAAGGGGAGAAGTGTTATAAGTTTCAGGACCAATCAATTTTAGACAAACTGTTGAATATTTCAATTCCTTTAACATGGATGAATTTTGAAGAGTATTTGAGAAATAAGTCAATATTTTAGATCAAAGGCCATAAATATCTTAGTTATATTACAATAATTTGTAATTATGTGAAGAAACAATGTACCAAATTGTCTCTACTTGGTTTTGGTTTAAAATATAGCATGCCCTATATATGATAGTACCAAAGCTTTCTTTTGTGTGTAGAAATGCATTTTATATGCATGACACCAGGATACTTAGATGATAAGGCATTGCATGAATAGAAGGACAGTCACTCCTTATTAAAATTAATCTTTATTTTTGTTGAAATGTAAGACTTACTGGTATTTTTTTCTTTACACATTCTAATTTTCTTGAGTCCACTTCTTTATTTAAAAAACTTCACATTTTTGCTTTAAATTTTTATCTGTAAGAAATATGTTTGCATTTGGAGGAGACATGTCTGTGAAAACCACACGTGTGTGTGTGTATATATATATTATGTATATATTTTATATATACCCATATATTTTACACACACACACACACATGGGAGAATTTGTTTTCTTAACTTCCAATGGAATGCTATACGGTGCTTCCAATGTTTGACTTGTCTAGCTGAAAGCTATGATGGATTTCTTCATCCTAGATGATATGTATTCCCTTTACTTCATTACACTTAATCTATCTGTGCAAGATCTTATGGCCTGTGGTAGACTTTATACTCTACCAGACAGCTTATCAGTTTCTTTGCAGGCCTCTCAATTTGAATTTTAAGTAAAAATGAATAAATTTGTGTTGCTTGTTGAGACTTTGTTCTGAAAGGCTTCTGCTCTCTGATTCTAGGGTGATAACTAGAGAAAGGAAGGTCATAGATTGTCATTTACAATAGCTGTATTGTATCTATGTGGTCTATGTATATATACACATACATATGCATATACTTGACATATGCATATATGTATGTATATGCACATAGTGAATATATAACTAAATGCACATATACATTAATGTATAATATGTGTTTAAGGAGTAAGAGAGGAGAGCTGGTTGTTGATTATCAGAAATAATTTGATATTTGGAAGGAAGAAAGATTTATCTTAATTTAGATGGGGCAATATATTGTACCATCTGCTGTTTAAAAACGAACAGTCTTATAAAATTGAAAGCAAAACCAGAAAATAATTTAAATATTCTTCTGGCTTCTATATGATGTGAGGATTGAACACATTGCTAAATTCATCCCAGTGGGTCAAAAAGGGCAGTTTGAGAAACCCAAGCCCAAGAGGAAATGGAACAATTTTATAAACAAAGTAAATAAATATAAAATGCTCTTGCTATCAAAATTGAGTTAATACATCTCTAGCTGCTCAAAACAGTTGCTTTAACACATAATGAAGCTGTTTAAAAGATAGTCAAAATGCTATACCTCAGGTTTGCACTCAGATCATTTTTTTTTTATATTGCTTTTGCTGTTGGAGGACTCCATACTCCAAATCTCAACAGGATTTTAGGTGAGGAGTTTTGTTTTGTTTATGCTTTTGTTTTTCTTTCCAAGTTATATGTGAATGACTAAAGTATTCTAAAATCTCCTCACATATTTATGTCTTTTAGAAGAGCTTATTTCACAATGTTCTTTGTAACTTTTATGAAGGTAAAGATATAATGATTCGTTCCGTGTTAATCTATAATATATATTTTTTCTAGTGTTTGTTAAAATATATTATTATTTGTCAATAATTTGTACTGAAATTTTATGTTTCTTGGTCAAGACTGTTCCCCTGACCTTTAAGGAAATTTGTATTACTATAGCAGAATACATTTTTAGTTATACATTTTCAAGGTTTCATTTACAGTACAATAATTTTGAACACTATTTAATAAAATATCAAGCAAAATAAAATAATCCAGATCTTCCTTTGTACTTTAGTTCCATCAAGAATCAACTCTTCCTGTGCATAAATTTTTCTCACCAATGAAGAAATCAAGTTGTGTTTAATAGGTAGTCAAAATTCATTATGTGTAAAGGTGCAAGTTATTAGGTTTACTAGAAGAAAAGAGGGATACAGAGATAGTCTTGAAGCCATAGAAATAATTCTCCCTTATACATGGTACTGAACAAAGTCTTCTACTTTTGTGTAAAAGCAAAATACTGTAGTCCTCCTTCATCTTTGGATAATGAATCCTCCACATTTAAGGGATATTAGATCATTCCTACCAATAAAAAACTATTTATTTAAAATGAAAACTAAGCCTTTGTGTGAATTTAAAAGTATTGTCTAGTGTGAAAACTGAGGAAAAATTAAGTCTGAAAAGTCAACTGCTTATATCTACCTTCTTTATTTTGATCTGGCCTTTTCTTCTGAAAATGTTTATCTGTAAAATGGACATCCTGATGACGACAATGATGATGATAATTCTGAGCATAAATCCAGTAGTTCAAATAATTCACTCTTTCTTGAAAAAAAATTTTTCTATAAATTTTTGGGAAATTACCTACGTACAGATCAGTAGTCAATGTATTCAAATCAATTTTGTTGCAAGAATCAGGGAACTAAAGACACTATAACAATTCAAGCTAGGGATGGACCTGGTAAAGTAGAGGTGTTGTAGACAAGCTCCTGACATTTATTATGAGATATTTGACTACTAAAAAGCATTCCTTGAGGTATTTATTTGAAAGGTAATGCTTCAGATTAAAGGAAAAAATTAATGTTTATATATTTTTTTAATTTTCAAAGGCCACTTGTACAAATTCTCTTTTACCCTTATAGGATTTTAAATACATTCTCCTTAATTTGTTGATCTGACTGTAAGTAATGCCTTATGCTTAGGGTTATTCTTCAGAGTAATGTAAAATAACATGTTCAGCTGTCATAAATGTTATTCATGTAGGTTGCCAGGTATAGAATGAATTCTAAATAATGTGAGTGCTAAGGAGTCTGGAAGCAATGTTGCAACTTGTGTATCTGGATGCAAGATAGGGGTGCAATAGCATTTTATACAGGAGATGGGAAAACATCTTTCTCCATTGCAGAGGAGGAGATGGAATGACAGTGTCTGAGTAGTCCAAGAGTGTTCCCAGCATTTGTTGGCACCCTGCTTTCTGGTGTCTCAATTTTCTTTTTAATTAATCAACACCAGTGATTTGGATTAAAAAAAAATGTTGCTAGTGAAATAAAAGCAAAACCTTGGCACTGTTAAGTATAGAATTGAAACCAAGTTATTAGTATCTGACAGCATTTAGATTGGGAGAAGTAGAACAGAGTCTATTCTCATGGACTCTTCAGTACTGCGTGATTTACTCAGAGCTCCTGGATGTTGATTCTGAAGTCCAGATGACTCATCAGAAACTGGCAATGAAGGGCAACCTGGATTTAGATATGTTTGTACATTCAGATTAGTGTTAGAAAGAGAGAGGCAGAGATTGATGGAGAGAAAAGGGGAAAGGAGAAAAGAGATTTATTGACTTCATTGACTGTAATTAAAAGGAACTCTGATCATTCAAAAGACCTTCCTCAAAGTTTCACACTTCTTTGTTCATGTTAAAACCTGTTTTTGTATCTAGGTTCTCAGTAGGGTACCTTTAAGCAAAAAGAAGAGAGGAGCCCTTTAAACTATAGTTTCATGAAATTTCACTCATTTTATATTAGTGACTTTGTGTGTGTGACATTTTATTCTTAAAATGTCTGAGATAGCTTTTACCTATCGGGCTCTCATCACTTCACAGATGGACTATTGCAGCTACTTTTTTAATACTGTTTTTAACATTCTTGATTCCTGTACTCAGAACCTGCAGAGGTTTACCACTGCTTGCAGGAAGTTCAAATTCTTCATCCAATGTTCTCCATAATGTTGTTCGTTCTCCATAATGTTGTTGTTCTCTGTCCATCTAATTTTGCCTCCCACTGTTTTCTGACCAGATCATAAACTCCTGCTAGACATATTCTCTTTCATTCCTCGCTGTCCTCTGACTTCATGCTATTTTTCTCTAGGCTGCTTTAGCTCACATTATTCTCCCCTACTCTGAACTTTCACTGATAGATTCCACTGTGTGTATTCCTTAATTGCCTATACACCATACTTCATTTTATTCACCCCTCTTGGGGGTGCATAGACCTTGTCATTTTCCTTTGTATGTCCCATGTGACTTGTTTGATGATGAGTAGTGCTGTCTGCAGAGAGAGCACTCAAGTGATTATAGAACATGTCCATTAAGTTTCCCAAATAGAAGACTCTTTATCTCCTATTCTGCCACTCTGAAAACTAAACAGAGGCTGTGAAAGGCTCAGTATTGCTGATGCTGTAAAGACAGGACACCTAGTTGCTTGAAGTCCCAGATGATTGATAGAAATAGTTTTTGTATAAAAAAGTGAAATTGATTAGCAAATTAAATAGGAATAAAGACAAGTGAGGGTGATTTAACTTAATTGAAGAAGAGATTAGAAAAATCAGAGCTGTTTTTAAAAAATAAGAATAAAAAAATCAGTGTGGTGAACACACCAAGGAGACTTTCAGAGGAAGGTTTAGATAAGTCCATAGGACAATAATCTTTAAGGTATAGCAGAAACATTGGACCTTCTTGAATAAGGAATGAAATTGTCACATACATAAATCAGAGTTCAAGAGGATTACCCCATCCTTGTTGATCAGTGCTCAGTAAGCCAGGTTGCACATCTATTTTTTCCCGTTGTGAGACAGGAAATAATTAAAAAGGGAAATAATCAGATTTGTAACTTAATAATATGGTTTGTAAAACTATTTTATATTCATCTGGGGCTGGCCAGAAAGCCATCTCTACTAGGCATGATGAAATTATTCTGACCATTCTCCAGTATTTATAGTGAAAATACATGTTCAGTATCTCTTTTGTTTCATAATATCTAAACAAGAACACGTGGATTATTTCCATCTTTAATTTCGGGACCAGGTATATATTAGCTCTTTTAAGGAAGTGTCATGTGGCACAGGTCCAAATACACATCCTTCCTTGATAATAATAAGTCTTTATTTTTATAAAGCTGTATATTTTGTAAGTCAAATATCTGTGTCTTTCTAAATATGTGCCGGATGTTTACATTTCAAATGGGCAAGAAAAATACCTGATGTGGGATATACCAGTTTTGTGGGGTGAGCTTCATTTATTTATTTATTTGTATTATTACTTGCCATTATTTGAAATAATTCATAAGAGCTATATAAGCTCTTCCTTTACTGCCTGGAATGTTTCATATGACCTACTAAATTTTGCATTACTGTATTATTTTAGCTAGTGGGAACATTTAGTATAATTACTTTGGCTATTCTTTATTAGATTATGAGCCTCCCATTACTTCTAAAAGACTATCTTGGATGCTGTTTGGGTTCAGTAAATAACTATGTATTACTGCAAAGGTATACTGAGATTTCTATTTTAAGTGGTGTCTGGCTAGCAGCCCTGGACACAACCTTCCAAAAATTTCCAGTAAATTGACTATGAAGACACACAAAGAGATATCTGTTCGTAGTATGGATAATATAGACTGATTGTCGCTTACTGCCAGAATTTGAGAGGAATTCTGGAATTGTTTTCCTACATTTAGTTACATAAAATTTCAAAACTATAGCAGTTAAGATAATTTTCTAATGGACACTTGCGTACCCACCTCCTGTATGTTACTATTACCATTTTATCCTACATGCTTATCCCCCACTCCATTGATGGAACTAGATTTTCAAGTGCAATTGGTGGCTTACCTATGTACACTTTTGGAAATAGAGCTAAGTTTGCCCTAAGGCAATAAGTAAAAAGCTGCATGGCTCAAAATAAAAGGTTTCTTTAAACTGGGAACTGGAAGCTACTCATATATTGTATAAATTTTGCTTTTCAAACAAAGCAAACCCCTTCTGCAAGTACCTATCTGTTTTAGTATGTATTCAGAAAGTAATTAAATGAGAAATAGGGAGGAGGGGACATGGTTATATTTTGTCCCCTGCAGAGTATAGCTCTCACAAGTGGAACCCTACAAGCAAAACAGATAGGAAGAGGCTAGGGTAGTGGTTTATGCAGCAGTGTCTAGTTTTGTACACATTCCAGCAGTTCTGAACTTAGTGCACTGGGCTATTGGAGAACAATAAGGTCCACTTCAGAACTGTGGAAGATCCCTAGAGGATAGATTCTGGGGTTTGGATAGAAACCATGTACGTGGACTAGCCATCCAGCTCTGAGCAATGGATTCGGCCATTACAGAAGGGCATATGAAGTGGGCCAAAGAGTGAAGAATGCATTTTCTTTGTTGGCTATCACCCAAGTTAAGTATAGCTCCACCCTTGTCCACAAATACAAAAACAGAAAGAAATAAGATAGTGGTTTTAAAACAATAAAAATACTTCAGAATTATGCTACAACAGTAAAATCCTAATGAAAATACAACTGCATCTACAGTGTTTTGCAGACAGGTACCTAGCCAAGAATTTTATACCAGATTAAGTAAGTCTTCACATGAGAAGGCAACAAAAAGGCATTTTTTAAAAAGCTAAAGTTGAAGAAATATACCCTTATACAACTTCATAAAAAAATATTTGAATCAAAAGTAAGAGCCTAAGGATGCCATTTTATTAAATGAATTATGCATCTTCCCTTACACATTCCGATCCTAGATCACGAAAATTTAGATGGGATGTGTGTTTGATCAGTAAATAGCGCAGCTCAGGGAAGCACCTTAATCCCTATATGTAATGCTTTTCTCAGATGTTTTATTTCTTCATTTTTTGATACCATATGTATTTGTCTGCCTAGGATGCCATAACAAATTAGTACAAACTGGGTGGCTTAAACACCATGGTTCTGGAGGCTGCAAGTCTGAAATCAAAGTGTCAGGAGGTTTGGTTCCTCTTAGGCCTCTCTCCTTGGCTTGCAGATGGCCACTTTATCACTGTGTCCTCACAGTGTTCTTTCCTAAGTGTGTTCACATCCCAGATATCTCTTTCTCTTCTTATGGGACACCAGAGATACTGGAATAGGACCCCACCCTAAAAACCTCATTTAACTTTAATATCTCCAAATGAAGTCACATTCAGAGGTATTAGGAGTTAGGTTACGGCTTCAACGTACGAATTTTGGGGAGACACAGTTCAGCTCATAACATCTTATTCATTGGTATATCTGACGACTTCTTAAAACTCTACCAGATGCTATTCTTTTCTTGTTTTTTTTTATTATTTTTATTTTTATTTTTTTTTATTTTTTGAGTACTTGATCACAATGGCCAACCTCTAAATGTAAACGTGATTGTGGCATTCAGGGTAAACCCAGTGCACATCTCATAGACTTAGCTTCACTGTTATAAATCAACAGCATATGGAATTAGCAGCATTTTGAGGCTCAGAGGGCATAGGGATATCCTAGTGCAGGATTTAGCTAAGAAGGCCTTGTTTCTAAAACAGAGTGAATGGAGCAAAGTGCATGAGAATGCAGTGGAGCAGGCTGGCCATACACCTTTCAGGCTCACTCCCTAGGCTGAATCTCAACCACATTGAAAAACAGTTCTGGGAATCCCCAAGTTTCATATACATGTGATAACAAGGCAAAAGTGAACAGACATTTCTGTTGTACAGGCAGCATAAAGTTGCTTAGACACAACAACTCCTTATATCTAAGGGAGCCAAAGTGAAAGGTGGACCATGGCACAGTGGCTTTACCAAACCACCAGGGAAGAGCACCACTGCTCTTGGGTCCAGCCCTCTCCTTCAACCAGTCCTCCAGCTGGTCAAGAAACATAGTTCAACAGTAGTTCAAGGAATAGTGAGAGTGGAAAAAAGGAAACCCCACATATTTTTTGTGAGCACACATCAATCATGGTTAGACCTTGCCTTATCTAAGACTAAATAGAGAAGAAAACAAAATGTGGTGATATATTAGGGTCCTCCAGAGAAATAGAACTAAATTATTAGGAGAGTGTGTGTGTGTGTGTGTGTGTGTGTGTGTGTGTGTGATTGAATGATTAATTTTAAATTGGTTCACAAGATTGTGAAAGCTGATAAGTCTGAAATCTGCAGGGCGTGCCGGAAATTCTTGCAATAGTGGATGTTGCAATCTTGAGTCTGAAGGCAGTCTAGAGTCAGATTTCTTCCTCTACTAGGGACCTTTGTCTTTTTCTCTTAAGGCCTTCAACTTATTGGATGAGGTTCACCCACGTTATGGAGGGAAATCTGTTAACTCAAAGTCTACTGATTAAGTGATTGATTTGTTTATTTGTTGGTTGGTTTTAAGATAGGGTCTTACTCTGTCACCCAGGCTGGAGTGCAGTGGTACAATCACTGCAGCCTCGACCTCTTGGGCTCAAGCACTCCACCCACTTCAGCCTCTCGAATAGCTGGGACTATAGGTGTGCACCACCATGCCTGGCTAATGTTGGTATTTTTTGTAGAGATGGGATTTTGTCACATCGCCCAGGCTGGTCTTGAACCCCTGAGCTCAAGTGGTCAGCCTGCCTCGGCCTCCCTAAGTGCTGGGATTACAGACATGGTGAGCCACTGTGCCTGGCTCTGCTTAAGTGTTAATCACATCTGCAAAATGCCTTCACTGCACACCCAGTCTAATATTTGACCAAACCCTGGGCACCATAGCCTAGCCAAGCTGACGCATAAAACTATCACAGGTGACTATAAAATGTTCTGAAATTTAAGTTTTGAAAAATACAGTTATCACAAGGCAGAGTAGAACAAGATGTTTAACAAATCTCTCTAGAAAAGATCATTTTTATATCATCAGTAGAATTCAAAAAATACGGGCTCTGAGACAAGAGATAAGACAGACCAAGGAGCAGTTCAAACTCAGGAATAATTTTTAAATATGCGCATGTCCTAAGAAAAGCTATAAATACATAAGTATGTTTGTTTTGTATTATATAGTTGCATTTGACTATGGAAATGGAAATATATCCTTCCTCACAAATATAGTTTATTGCTAATTATTGGTAAATATATTTATTTGATATTGCAATAATAGTATTATTAGACCCACTTAGGGCCAATAAAAGCTCATAGGTTGTCAAAACTGTTTTGTCACTTTGGTTGCAAGGGGCAGAATTTGATTCTTAAAATATTGGAATTTTATATTCTTATTATAAATTTGGGGGAAATAAAAGATAAGGAGTTGCCATAAATATGTGAGGGCCCACAACATCAGTGTATTTCTTGTTGTTTAAAATCTTTCTTTAGGCTAGGTGTAGTGGCTGATGCCTGTAATCCTAGCACGTTGGAAGGCAAGACGAGAAGATCACTTGAGCCCAAGAGTTCGAGAACAGCCTGAGCAACATAGCGAGACCCTGTCTCAGGGGAAAAAAAAAAAAAAGCCTTTCTTTAGTTATTATTTCATTCAGATAGCTATGAAAGTATTTTTGGTTTTTGCTTGCTTGTAGCTTTTCTGTTTTCTACCACACAAAAAATCCAATTTTAATTTTGGGTTTGTGAAATATGTTTTATCAAAATATAAGCCTGATGTTTCTTATCTTCCAAAAAATTTAAAAATATTAGCTCAGATGTAATTTTGATCATAAATGATTAACATGTAAACTTAAATTGAATGTAACCACTTCATATGGATATTTCAAGGTAAAAAATGAAATCTAAAATATCTGCACACTACTTTTAAAATTTTGTCCATAAAAATGAGAAATACCGATTCCTTATATTCTCAAATTTATTTCATCATTTATATATGTCATATATGAAAATGTGTTCTTTTTGATATTTACTTTAGATATCAAAATAATACAAATTTTAAACCTGAAATAAACCGTAGATATCCGTTGTCAGGATTATATCTTATAAGTCACATCATTCTATTCATCTTGTCTAAACTAATATTGTTATATAGTATCACACAAGAAAAAATCAAACTATAAATTAAATGTCAAATTTCTGTTTGTTTTTCAACATACAGTTTTAAATAGATGTTATTATTCTCTTTCTGTATAAATACCCTGAGCAGAAATTGTCAGCATGCACGTATCTTTTTTATGGTGGAATTTTTGACTAATGAGTTTTTGTTAGAAATGTATCAGTTCTACTTCATTTTATAGTTGAGGTGTTCATATGAGTCAGTCTCAGTAATTTTTGAGTGACTTTCTGTAGAAAGTTGTTCTCTAACTAGAATGGAAGATGCTGACACCTAGATGTTCAAATGGGGCTGATGGAAAAAAATCAGGACAATTTTGTATCTTATATGGGCAACAAAGCATTATAAAAGGACATGAAGGATGGTTTGTCATATCCATTAGTTTTTGCCGTTTTATCTATTAGACTTGCAGTAGCATATGTAGAACACAGGTTGTGTATGGTGGGAATAATTTTGTGGAGGATATTATGAGTATGATATTCACATGCTAAATGAAAGTCAAGTATGCCATAAATTTAACTAATGTCACTTATGTTTTGTTCACATAGTAGTGGTGTCATCAGCGTAATACAGGAAAGATTTACAGTACAGCCCAACATGACTGCTGTTCTCTAGTGTGGGCCCCGGTGGGGAAAGGGAGAATCAGAGGAAGAGACTATTACTGATGGCACTAGTTTTCATTTTTAAAACACACAGCCTGGGCTGGGCGCTGTGGCTTACGCCTATAAGCCCAGCACTTTGGGAGGCCGAGGCGGGCGGATCACGAGGTCAGGAGATCAAGGCCATCCTGGCTAATGGTGAAACCCCATCTCTACTAAAAATACAAAAAATTAGCCGGGCGAGGTGGCGGGTGCCTGTAGTCCCAGCTACTCAGGAGGCTGAGGCAGGAGAATGGCATGAACCCGGCAGGCGGAGTTTGCAGTGAGCCAAGATCGCGCCACTGCACTCCAGCCTGGGTGACAGTGAGACTCCATCTCAAAAAATAAAAATTAAAATTAAAAAATAAAACACACAGCCTGTAACTATTTGACCTTTTGTCTTTTATAGTATTTTAGTGTGCTTTTATTTCATTTTATTTCATTTTACTGAGCATTTTATTTCATAGCTTTAGGTACAAATGTGGAAATTTTAGGAGCAAAGCAGTTTGTAATTATTTGTCTCAAAAAATTGATTTGACCTTTAAAGACATAGTTTTTGTGCATCAATGGGACTAATTTGTTTAAATAGTTTATAAACAAACTATTAACCAGTATGATATTTTTCTTAAAGAGATCAGAGCCAAGAACAATAACAAAAAAGTGATGACTCATTTTTCAACTTTCAATTTATGTTACAAGACATTATCACAGCATTCATTGGCTCTAATTTGACATTAAATAAACACAGTGAAAAAACAATCTTTGAAAAGTTATTCATGCTTTCGTATAAACAGAGAGATGGTGGTTTGGAGATACCCCTTTTAAAACTGAGCCTCGTTAATTTAAAACAAGCACAATGATACAACTGTACTTGACTTGAAGGAGGGCATATTGTTCTGCAGGCGTCCTAATTTTACTTCTGGTCAGAGGGACACTGGAAGATTTTCAGCCAGAACTGCAGTGAGAGATGAATTTTTATTATATGCTGAGATGCTCAGATGCCTGGAAACAGAAAAGAGCTAATTTTACTGTTGAAAAGTAGTTAATAGGCTACCTGTTTCCAAATATGCACCTGCCATCCCCCACCACTACCATCCCAAGTAGATGCAGACTAGAGCATTCATAGTGGTCGTTCATCCGATGTGGCTCCGCATAGATTTTTATTAAGTCAGGCATGGTTTGTGTAGCCCTCCCCGCTCCTGGAACTGATCACCCATGTTTTTTGCTACCAGAGAAGTAGTTTTTCAAGCAACACACAGCTTGTATGTGGAAGATTTCCAAAGTCACAATTGCTTCTTTATCTTCCAGTGACTTTGAAAGAAAGCCATGGCATGAATAGAATGCTCAAAGCTCTGTCCCTGCACAATCTGTAGTCCTTTATTTCAGCTATGCTTTTTACTGCTTCTTGGGAATTGATTTTTCTCTTCAATGTACCACACCCCTTTCAATTCTCTCTCCTTAAAATGGAAAAGAGAAAGAAAATGGTGCACAAGGTGTCTGAGAAGTAGAGCAAAAAGTAGACATGTGTAAATCCATAAGGATATGAAATGGATGGAAAATATAAGACACAAGACAAACAATACTCATTCATGCAACAATAAATTATGTAATTCTGGAGTGGAGGAGCTAGCCCAGAACTTTGCAACATTCAGACCAAATTTCTTAGACTATAATTCAGTTATTCAATTTTTTTTTATATCGGTACTTCCTTATTCCTTAATGTGTCTGTTTTCAGAGCCTTGGGTATCTAAATCAGAGGTGAAATCTCTCCGTTTCTATGCCAAAACCATTCCATTTTCTGGTCAAATAGTCCCTGAGTGTTTAATGTAATTGCCAAATGAATTTTCAAAATATGCCTTGGAGAGTTACAATAAAACATTTTCAAGGCTCACAAGTCTTACGGTGATCAGGATTAGTTTGTTTAACCAGCATTTCCTAAATGAAACCCTTTCACTCGATAATGACTATTTTTATCTCACTACCTTGGATTAATGTGTAGATAGTGGACTGTACAGATTCAAAAGATAAAGGAAAAAAATTTTAGGACTTAGTAAGAGAGGAATATAGGGTTAGGTGAGCAAGGCTTCTAGATTTCTAGCTCGTAACTCAGTGGGACCATTCACTGAATGAGACACTGGAGTATTTTTTTAGGGCTTTCATATATGCCCGGGCAACAAAGTATGTCTCGTATTCTTGATTTGAAGAAAGGCAGGCTTTCTGTTCATTGCAAGAGTTATTATTGAGAGCCTATCCTTTGAGAAAATATAATGTTTGCAGAAATAGATTTGATATTCTAGCTATGTAAAGAAATGAAACTTTAAAATGTGAGATAGAAAAATTATAACCAGAATAATTAGAACAAATTACATTCCACATCAAGGCACCTTACTGTTTAGACTTAAGCAATTATTTAATGTCTGCAGTATTGTCATCTGAAAACATTCTATGACTTAGAGAAAATATACCATATCATAACTCTAACTGTATTATTCTATCTTTTTGCCAAGCAATACAAGCAGAGTAGTACATTCAGAACTGGCAAGATGATTGTCTGAATGTGACATTATCTGATGACACTCAGAAAGCCTTTAAACATAAAAGATATAGAGAAATGCTTCATTGCTTTCCTTGGATGGCATTTTTTCCTTTCAGCCTAAGCAAGATTAATGTTCTCAACTGACATGATGACACATCTAGCTGTGAAATGACAATAAAGTATATACAAAATGGGAGTAGGGACATGCCTAATAAAATGCAATACCTTAATTTTTTTTCTAAATACTATTAGTTTGAGATTGTTCTGAAGGTAATGATGTTCAACTTGTAAATGTGTTGCATATGCCATTATGTTTATACATTCGTCTGTACACACTGTTTTTATTAGGAGTGATATATCACCTCACTTTTGCTTGACTCCTGTATCTCAGAAAAGTGATGGCATTTCTTATTCTCTTCAGTTCTATTTAGCAGACATTTACTGAGTATTCTGTTGTTGTTGTTGAAGGTAGTGTGCAATATGTTTCTAATATGAATGTAACAAAAAGAACCTGAGAATATCAATGAAATTTAGGTGAATACTTAATTCCTGGTGATCAAAGCTAATGGGTGTTCTAATGAAAAAAAGTCTAGCACTATCATGGAATAACAGCAGAATCTGGAGCAATAAGGCAAGAAATAATTTTATTTTTCAGACAAGCCACATTATTAATGAAAACATGCACCACACATGAATAACATTGGAATATTACCTCTTTCTTGAATAGCAGTGATGAGATGGCCTACTCTGAGAGGTACTGAAAAATCAGTTGAGGAGATTATTGAGCTTAAGTGTGTAATAATCAGAATGAAAAGAAATACATGTAGTCAGAATTACAAGCCAACTTAAACAGATAATTGATAAGGCAAATTGTATAATATTCAAAGCAAGAAAGAAGACCTAGAATACATCAAGATCTCTATCTGTACAAATCGTGGTTCACATAAGCAGTATGTGCAATTAGTGGAAATATGTCCTGATGAAATCAATAGGCCTGTTTAGGCCTTACTTTTCAAAATGGGCACTAGTAACATCTTTGATAGAAAGAATTCTTGTTGCAGTACATTGAAGTATTGGTTCATGTCATTTCTGTGCAGCACTCATTTATCATCTGTTTCAAATGAATCTTTTTGGTACTTCATATTAGCTTGTGAACGTACAAAAGTATCCTTCCTATCAAGTAACTCTAGCATTAGAAAAGAATGACTGCCTCTTGAGAGTTGAGTGTATAGCTTGATTTATTCATCTGCAACAGAAAAATTCCTTCAAAAGTTTTTACTGTATCTTAAAATTTTGTTGGAATTCTGTATTCTTTCTTCTGGCATGTTATTGTGATTTCTACCTTAACTCTTTAGAATCCAGAGGAGGTTCACCAGAGTTTTCTTGTGGTTTCTCCTTTTTCCTGTGAATACACAAGTACTCTCTTTTGAGAAGCACAGTATTGTGCAGATTTTGCTCTCAATGAATTGGTCATGATGTGCCAAAATGATGTTCACTCAAAGTGTTCTGGGAATCAAGGGAAGAGAATTGACGGCTGTACCTGTGTCCATTTGAAGGGCAATTTGGATAGGAGTGGTTTTGGTAAACCAATGAGGAAAAAGAAGAGGGTCTTCCAAGCTGAAGCACAGTGCCTATGCTTGTATAAGCAGTGAGGCTGGGAGGGTGGGGTGAGATTCTAAAGAAGATGGAAAGATGACTCGAGATCACCTTGTCTGACTTGCTATGCAAACTACAGATTTTGATCCTCATGTATTACATGTATTACTGATTCTTTAACATTGAAAGCTACTTTAAAAAATGAAATTAGTGTGAAAGTTCAATAAATACTTTATAAAGATATAATTATCTTAAAACTTTATAAAATTTCCTTATAAGCCAGTAAGTGAAAGAGTATTTTGATAAAAGCAAAAACTAAACTTCATTGGTTTTAGATGATAGCAGCCATCATATATTGGCCTTAACTTCTCATTAATTTCTACATTTTGTTTTGGTTTCATGGTGTCTGGAAAATCCTTATTAGTATAAATAATACACATCATTTTAAAAGGGTATATTAATAGTTTATTTTGAAATCACAGGACAGTCTCTTAGTAAGCTGATCCACAGGCTTGAAAGAGGAATAATTGGAAATTATTTTAATGCTGAGTCATTAAGAAAATTTAACTGCTGCTTACCATGCTTACCAGGCAAAGAGTTTAGTTTAGATGGAGTACACCAATCATTATTGAAAGATAATATTTTGAAGTAATCTCAGATATGTCAATATTCTGCTTAGTCAGACATTGAGTTTGTAAATAGCCATTTTTCCTTTAGTTTGCATGCTGCGTCTAAAAGGCAAGTTCTAGTTTCATCAAAGACACTCTCCCTACAGGTAACATTGTGACCTTGCATCAAGAAAGTGAGCTTGTTCAGCTACATAAAATCCTAGGTCATAAGCAGGACAAGACATTGCATCGCTGTTGTAATTGTTTAGGTATAAAGCTAATACAGTGCATATAGGGTCTGTATTGGGAAAACTATAAAACACTGATGAAAGAAATAAAAACACAATAAATGAAGAAGAGATATTCTGTGTTCATGGAATAGAAGATTCAATATTGTTAAGATGTCAGTTCTTCCTAACTTGATCTTAAGATTCAACAAAATCTCAATCTAAGTCCCAGTGTCTATTTTGTAGATAATCAATAAACCAATTCTAAAGTTTATGTAGAAAGGCAAAAGACCTATAATAGCAAACATAGTCGTACTGAAGAAGGAAAACAAAAAGTTGGAGTACTACAGTTAACCAATTTCAGGAATAACTGTTAAGCTACAGTAGTCAAGATAATGTGGTATTGGAGAAATACTAGACATATAGATCAATGAAATATATCAGAAAACCCAGAATAGACATATACAAATATAGTTTACTGCTCTGTAACAAAGACACAAAGATGATCCAATGAAGAAAGTAGTGTCTTTTCAACACTGCAAATTAGCAAAACATCATACCCCTCTAAACCTATTAGAATGACTAATATCCACCAAAAAAAAAAAATGAAAGTACCAGTTGCTAACATGGATGTGACACAAACAGGAATTTTCATTTATTGCTAGTGGCAATGCAAGTTGGTACAGTTACTTTGACATTTCATACAAAATTAAGCATAGTCTTAAGATACTATCCAGCAATCACATTCTTACCTAATTGATTCAAAATCTTATTTCTGGGCTGAGTGCCATGGGTCACCCCTATAACCTCAGCACTTTGGGAGGCCAAGATGGGAGCGTTGCTTGAGCCCAGAAGTTTGAGACCAGCTTGGGCAATATAATGAGACACTGACTCTCCAGATTTTTTTATTTAATTATCCAAGTGTGGAGCTGCACACATATGGTTCCAGCTACCTGGGAGGCTGAGGTGGGAAGATCGCTTGCACCCGGGCAGTTGAGGCTGCAGTGAGCCATGATCATGCCACTGCACTCTAGCCTAGGCCACAGAGGGAGACTCCATATCAAGAAAAACAAAAACAAAAACACTTATTTCTGCAGAAAAGCCTGCATACAAATATGTATAAGCAGCTTTATATAAAATCACCAAAAACTGGAAGCAACCCAAATGCCCTTTGGTAGGCAAACGAATAAAGAAATGGTGGTATATGCACACAGTGGAATACTATTCAATAATAAAAAGGAATAAAAAGAAATGAGCTGTTGCTTGTCTCACTCATAAATGAACAATGAAAACACATGGACACAGGGAGGGGAACATCACACGCTGGGGCCTGTCAGAGAGTTGGGGGCAAGGGAGGGGAGAGCATTAGGACAAATACCTAATGCATGCGGGGCTTAAAACCTAGATGACGGGTTGATAGGTGCAGCCAACCACCATGGTACATGTATACCTATGTAACAAACCTGCATGTTCTGCACATGTATCCCAGAACTTTAAAAAAAAAAAGCCTTAAAATAGCAAAAAAAGAAATTAGCTATCACTTTATACATAAACATGCTTGAGTCTTAAATATATATTGCTCAGTGAAAGGAGTCAGTCTGAAAACGCTAAATATTGTATGATTCAAATAATATAACTATTTTTTAAAACCCCAAAGGCGACTGGGCACAGTGGCTCAGGCCTGTAATCCCAGCACTTTGGAAGGCCGAACTGGGTGGATCATGAGGTCAGGGGTTCGAGACCAGCCTGGCCAGCATGGTGAAACCCTGTCTCTACTAAAAATACAAAAATTAGCCAGGTATGGTGGTGCATCCCTGTAATCACAGCTACTCAGGAGGCCGAGGCAGAAGAATTGCTTGAACCTGGGAGGCGGGGGTTGCAGTGAGCCAAGATTGAGCTACTGCACTCCAGCCTAAGGGACACAGCAAGACTTCATCGAAAAAAAAAAAAAAAAAAAAAAAAAAGAAAAGCCCAAAGGCAAGTGTATTAGTCTGTTCTTGCATTGCTATAAAGAAACACTCAAGACTGGGTAATTTATAACAAAAGAAAGGTTTAATTGGCTCCCAGTTCCACAGGCTGTACTGGAAGTATAGTGGCTTCTGCTTTTGGGGAGGCCTCAGAAAGTTTCCAATCATGGCAGAAGGCAAAAGGGAGGCAGGTGTCTTACATGGCAGGAGCAGGAGCAGGATGGGGGAAGATGCTGTACACTTTTAAACAACCAGATCTCATGAGAACTCACTATCATGAGGACAGTATCACAGGGTATGGTGCTAAACTATTCCTGAGAAACCACCACCATGATCCAATCCCCTCCCACCAGGTCCCACCTCCTACATTGGGGATTACCATTTAACATGAGATTTGGGTGGGGACACAGATTCAAGCTATATCACCAAGTCTGAAGAATTACATGACATTTTTTAAAAGGCAAAACTATAGAGACAATGTATGAGTTAGGATTGTACAGAAAATTTGAAACAATAGAATGTGTCTATTTGTAGAAAGGGATTAATTATAGAAAGCAGCTCATGAAATTATGTCTGCTGGTAAATCCAAAATCTGCAGTTTAGCAGGTTTGAGAACAGGAGAGTCAATGGTAGTTCTAGTTAGAAGGCTGGCAGCCTGGAGACTCAGGAGAGCTGATGGTGCAGTTTCAGTTCAAAGGGCAGCAGGCTCATGACTCATGGAGGAGCCAGTGTTGCAAATGAATTTTTAAGGGCAAATGTTGCAGATAAAATCTGAAGGCAGTCTGCTGGAGAATTTCTTTTTTCCTCCCGGAGGCTGGTCTTTTTGTCTATTCAGGTCTCCAGCTGATTGGATAAGGCCTACCCACATTATGGAGGGCAAAATGATTAAGCATATATTAAATGTTAATATCATCCACAAACAACTTTTAAGTTGACAGAAAAAAAAAATAATAACCATCCCAGAAGATAAAGGGATCAGTGGTTGCCTGAGGTTTGTGGAGGAGAAGAGGTTTGAATAGGTGAGGCACTGAGAGTTTTTTAAGGGCCATGAAACAATGATACTGTAATTGTGGTGTAGTGGATTGACTGATGACCCCCCAAAAGGATGTGTCCACATCCTAATTCCTAGATAATGTGATTACATTACATGGCAGAAATGTGAATATCACCTTATGTAATATCTAATGTGTTAAACAGATATGTTTATATGATTAAGGACTAAGGACAGGTGTGATTAAGAATTAATGAATAGGGCCTCTCATGGTGGCTCACGCCTGTAATCCCAGCACTTTGGGAGGCCGTGGTGGGTGGGTCACCTGAGGTAGATCAGGTGTTTGAGACCAGCCTGGTCAACATGGCGAAACCCTGTCTCTACTAAAAATACAAAAATTAGCTTGTTGTGGTGGTGCATGCCTGTAATCCCAGCTACTGGGGAAGCTGACACAGGAGCATTGCTTGAACCTGGGAGGCGGAGGTTGCAGTGAGCTGAGATGTTGCCACTGAACTTCAGCCTGGGTGACAGACTGAGACTCTGTCTCAAGGAAAAAAAAAAAAAAACAAGTTTTAATGAAGGGATTATTTGGAACTATCTAGGTGGGCTCTAAAAGACTACTTCAGCCAGGTAGTGAAGGTCGGCATCCACAGTGATAAGTCATGTTGTTAGTATACGCTCTTGCTGTGGTATGATGTAAATGGCACTTTACCTCTCTGGTTTCCCTCCCCAAAACTCATAGACTCAGTTTATAATCATGAAAAAAAATTCAGACAAATTCCAATGGAGGGACATTCTGCAGAATACCTAATGACTATTTCGTATTAAAACTGTTAAGGTCCTATAAACATGGGAAGTCTGGTAAACTCACAGAACTTAGAAGATGAAGGAGATATGATGTAATTAATTTTCTTGGTTGGGAACCTGGAACAGAAAGAGGACATTAAGTAAAAACTAAGTAAATCTAAATAAGTCTGAATAAAATGAGTTTAGTTAGTAATAATGTACCAATATTGGTTCATTAATTTTGACAAACATACCATGTTAATGTAAAATGCTAGTAAGAGGAAATGCTATATGGATATATGGGAACTTTGTACTATCTTTGGAAATTTCCTGTAAATGCATAACTATTCTAAAAATTTATTTTTACAAGAGCCTGTGTACATGCAGGCCTGACCTTTAAAAGAAAAAAAAAGTACAAATTTCCTCCTAAGTTGTGTATTAGTTTCCTACAACTGTTTATCAAAGAACCACAAACTGGGTGAATTGAAACAACCTAAGCTTGTTCTATCAAAGTTCTGGAGACCAGAAGCTCAAAAATCAATGTGTCTGCAGTGCCATGCTCTCTCTGAAGTTTCTAGGGACAATGCTCCCTTGCCTTTTTCAGCCTCTGGTGACTCCTGGCTTTCCTTAGCATTTTTGGGCTTCCAGATGCATCACTCCAATCTCTGCTTTCATCTTCTCATGTTCATCTTTCCTATGTTTCTGTTTTCTCCTTTTCAGATTCTTAAAAGGATATTCATCATTGAATTTAGGGCCCACCCAAATCTAATATGATCTTAAGATCCTTAATTACCTCTGCAAAGAGCCTTATTCCAAATAAAGTTCCATTCTGAAGTTCCAGGTGTTGACATCTGTTTCGGGACCCACTATTCCACCCACTTACACCATGCCATATCCATAAAGTGTTCAACCATCTGCATGAACTGGGCAAAAGAAGCCTTCAGAAAAATAATCTACAGTACAATTGAGTATATTATTAGTCTGCCAAGTGTTAGAATTTTCTTAATGATTATAATAATAGGTAATAATTATTGAACTCTTACTGTATGGTATTCACTGATAAGCATGCTCTACATATATTCTCTTTTAATTTTCATACTGCGGTTATCCTTCATTTGTAGGTGATAAAACCAAAGCACTGAGTAGTGAAGAAACTTGCCTAAAGTCATACAGCTGGTAAATTTCCTCCCAGTGTTAACAGCATTTATTGCTATTAAAACTGCTAATAAAATGTGTATCAAACATTTGCAGAAATTCTGAATCCTTCTATGGAACCTGAGGATTCTACTTTAAGGTTTAAAGTCATGAGAGAGAGAGGTTTACATTGAAAGAGTTTTCAGCTCCTTGGTAAGAAGTTTTATCAGTCTCTTTTGCTGAGGGGTTCTTGTGATAGAACTCAATAGTGCTTTTTCAATTTATAGGATTTCAGGTAAGATTCCACCTCCGTTATCCAGCTATCTTCTAATATACTCTTATCTTCTCTATTAAATGTTTCTCTCTGAAAATGATTTACCTTCTTATTCAGGCTTCCTCCTCAGTAGAATAACCCCAAACTCCTCCCCACCCCTATACATGCACACATGTGCTATTTTATCCATTTAACTTGTGTCTTCCCCCAAAGACTTAAAAATTCCTTCTTAATAATGTAAAAACTTATAAACTCTGCTACAAGCATACGTAACATTTCTCGAGGCTATTAAAAATATCTAGATGTCAGGTAAGTGTATATGATGAAGTAAGTGATTCAAATAGAACAATTAACAGATGGCAGCAACAATTATATATTCATATTCCTGGCCAACAGCATTTGGTAGATATAATTACCTTACAGGTGTTAACTGCCCTTTATGGAATGAGACATCTCTGAACACTAGAGAAACATGGTTAACGATGGTCACAAATCAGTAAAAATTCTATATTGACTCATTTTTTTAGACAAGAATCAGAAAGCTAAATTCAGTTTTTGGAGTATAGTGCTAAGTTCAGAAAAAGTGAAACTTAAACAGGAGAGCAGGTGTGGTGTAATCTTCAAGTTGATTGCTGGGATGGGGAAAAAAAAACCCCGCACATTAAAAGACATTTAAAATTCACTCAACATTTGGAAGGTACAGAGTCCAAAAAGGCAATCATTTAGGGAGAAGGAAGCAGCTGTTTTGACTTATTCCTTTGAGTTTCTTTAAATTACCTTAGTTTCATATGCAAAATAGTATTAACATGCTTTTTTCAAACAAAACTTTTCTGTGCAGATAAGTTTGTACTTATGTTTCTTTATAGCCTTTAGATTATTATACTAGAATGAGGATAAAATATAATTTTAATGTTACTGTTTATAATGTTTCAATCATTTGACCAGAAATATTTGAAAACCTGGATAGCCTCACACACACACACACAAATTACATCATTCAAGTGTTGTCATTTTACTTTTATTTTCTCCTGTGAACAGTAAATATTTGTCACTTCCATTTAACATTTGTATCACTTGCAGCTATCTGTCCAGGGAAATATTAAATGACTATCAGTCCCTACTGGGAGTGATATTGTCTGATTAAAACTAAATTTCCTCCCTTCTGTTCTACATTGGAGTCATCTCTAAATCTCTGAATTTAAGCTGTACTCAGCACTATAATTTAAGGCTAATTTATTTTACCTTTATTTTTTAAGTTATGTTTTCAAAGTTTTTGATTTTGTAGTTTTACATAGTAATAGTTTTACAACTATTTTGTAAAGCTCTTGAAGTTCAGCATGCCTCTTCTCAACTCTTATTTATTGCTGAATAATAGTTATTACTCAATAAATATTTTGATTGATTAATAAAAACCTATTTCAAATAACTATTTTCTAAAATTATTTTTTTCTCTTCCAATTCTGAAGGAAAAAAAGGTAATATACAGAAGTGGGTTGTTATGGGGAAACATGTTTATTGTGCTATAGTCCTCTTTTCCCCTGTAATGAAAAGTTAGGTTTTTAGTAGTAGAAATGTCATTTTAGTGAAATATGCCATAATTTTACTTTAGCGTTATATTCCCTATAACAATTGAAATTAAGTACATGTTGAAATACTTCCTTAAAAAAATTTAAACTGGAGTTTAAGTTTTGACTTCTTTGTCTAAGATATTCTCCAACACACCTGATGTTTCATTTTCTTCTTTTTCTTGTGCAGTTAAGAATATTATACTTTTCTGCCTTTATCATGATTAATATTCAATAAGTAAAGAAATTTTTCCATAAGCAATACATACATAAAATACAACCATAAGGAAACACTTTTAATCTTCCCTGGTTTCTGGCTTATGAGTTTGGTAATTCCTTAGCATTTAACCTTTGTCACAAATTGCCATGTGGCAGTGTGTATGCTGTCTTTTTGATAGATTTCCAGTAGTGGGATTACTATATTCAAAATAAAGAGCCTCAAATAGAGATAAACATTTATGTTTCATGATACTCTCGTTTTAGATTGGAAACATTCAGAAGTTTCTGAGGTGAGAATTGTTAAAAGAAGAAAGCTGTCCTACATAGAATACCTTTAAGAATACAATTTTTACATATTATTTGAAACACCAAAATTATTAGTAGTAATATAATATCAATTCTAATCATGTCTATAAGAATAGATTTGCATAGGAAAAACTAGAATTGACATGCAAAAAATTAATATTAGTCGTGCTTGAAAGTAGGATTAAGTTTAAAATTATATAATGATAACAAAATATTATCAAATTGAAAAGTTACAGGGAAATTAGTTAACAACATTTCTTTCAGTTAACTTTTTTTCAGATTTCATTGGATTACAATGGAATACTGAAGAATCAGACTTCTTCCTGAAACACTGAGACTGGAAAAAACATTTAACCTTATTTTTAATACAAAGAGAAGGATAGGAACTATTTTGTGTGGTTGTTGTAGGAACCAAAGAAAATGACACATAAAGCACCTAAATAATTGCCTGGTATATAGCTATTGCTGAATACATCCAAACTTTCCTTAATTTTTAAAATATGTCCATCGGTTCATTTGAAAATAGAGAATATCTAGCATAAATATTTTTGAAGCTATTCTCCTAAGCATTGCAGTTACTGGTTTTCCATTATACTTAACCTTATCATGATATCCTGGAGTTAATGTGAAAGGAGAAGTAACCATGATTGAGAAACCTGTATACAACAGAAGTCTTTCTCTTTTGAGACAAAGCCAATTTGGTCCTTGAGTAAATTTATTTTTTTAGCTATTATTTTATCAGAGACAACTGTAGCTTATTCCTGGAAATAACTGGCAAAGTCAGCAGCACTATTAGAAATAAATCCTTTGAGAAAATATTTTCAAACTTCTATTATATAATTTTGAATTTTTCATTACACCTAAAGAAGTTTGTGAAATATGTTTTAGCAAGAATGTCAATATTCAAAACCTTTTATATTTTAGGAGATGTTTGCATTCTTCATTGGAGAGTAAAATTGGGACTTAAGTAACAATATCTAATACAATTCATTTTGATCTTTGAAATTTAATGTAAAGAAACAGGAATCAAAGGAATGTAAATTTAAAAAAAAAACCAAAAAACACATCCATGGCTTGTGTTGTTTGTTATTTGTTTAGTTATGTTTAAGTTTTTTTAACTTATGTTTTTAGGTATGTTTTTATTACTGGAGAGAATCAAGACCCTGTAAATATACTTTACTAGCTTAGATTCCATTTAATTACTAGATTATATGTTATTTAGCCAATAGGTGAAATTTAAATTTACGCATGTCACTTAGTATCTTCACCTGGCTTTTCAGAAACAGCTGATTTATGCTATTAGAGCATTTAAATAATGTTTCTCACTGTTCTTTTCAAGACTAAATGGAAGCTCACCTGAGAGAAATGCAGTAAATGAAGTCAACTGGCAGATGTTCTATGGGAAAGAAAGTGCTATTGCAGTTTAGACTTCCAGTGTTCAGAACTTCCGAAAAAGTTTTTTACAAGATAAACCTAAGGAAAGTGAATGACCAAGGATTAAGAGGAAAATTTTCTTCTCAGATTAAAACCATAGAATAAATAGGAAGCAGCTGAGAAATGTGTGGCAGATTTCTCAAGTGGAAAAAGGTTAATGTTGGGGTTGCCCTCAGGATCAATTTTAATACTGGTAGCATGAAATCTATTAATGAGTCAGAAGGCAAGCTGGAGATATTTTGCTGATGTCATCATTTTGTCTCATACCAGTAACAAGAATAGATTAAGAACATAGCTAAAAGAAAAACCACATTTTTAAAAAAATTCAGAGGTCATTATAAACACCAAACTCAAAACAGTCCTTTCCAAACATGTGGCTTTCCTGTGTTCATGGTTCAAAGGAAATTGTTAAGGGAAAACTTCTTTAGTTTTATTGTTAATGTAAAAAGTGGTGTGTAAAATTCAGCATTCTTCCTGCTTTTCTGAATTCTACGTCCTGTATTTGTCAGCAGAAGTGGCCATATTAGAGAAAAAATATGTGCATGCATAGTTTCTTCCAAAATTGGGATTGGATGGCTAAGGCAGGTGCCAGGGTATTTGTGCAACACAGACACGCCACCATGTAAGTCCACGGTGACCTAGCTTTGTTCCCATTAGGTGCAAATCATGCTATAGATCCCTTCACCAAAAACTCTGATGGATAGAAGAGCAAATGAAGTTATTTGAGTCATAGGTCACTATGACTATTATGTATTGGTATTATTGTTGTTTGCCTATGAGCATTTCATAATCAAAGAATCTTTGCATGATGAGTGGGTTTCTTGTGTTTTCCATAATGAGGACGACTTCTTGTTGAGTTTGTGCATTTATTGGTTCTTGGATCATGTTTATCCTGTCACAAAAAAATGAATTATAAAATACAAGCATTTTTAACATAACATGGTCCAGGCACAGTGGCTGAAGCCTGTAACCCCAACACTTTGGCCGACGTGGGTGGATTGCCTGAGGTCAGGAGTTCGAGACCAGTCTGGCCAACATGGTAAAACCCCATCTCTACTAAAAATTCAAAACTTAGCTGGGCATGGTGGTGGGCGCCTGTAATCCTAGCTACTTGGGAGGCTGAGGCAGGAGAATCACTTGAACCCAGAAGGCAGAGGTTGCAGTGAGCTGAGATCATGCCACTGTACTCCAGCCTGGGCGACAGAGTAAGACTCCATCTCATAAATACATAAATAATATGAATATTTATATCCTGAAAACTAGGTTGCATAAAAGAAAAGCTGTGCAAATCTTAATTGATAAAAATGAATTAAGCTGGAGACTAAAAAATACAGAAAACTGCAGCATTTAAATACAGCAGATTATAAAATGTTATATTAGGGGAACAACTATTTTTGTTGCCAATGGATTCAAACTTACTAATTTCAGATTCTTCTAAAGTTTATGTCGTGCGATTGTAAATGTTATACTCCTTGCGGAAGCATTACCTAATCAATTTGATTTGCCCCATTGTTATTGAAGATATATTGCTTAGCACTCCAAATTACAATCTCTCTAACACTAACATAGGAAAATGCTTTTCAAACTGGGTTTTACAGAACTTATTTCTTCCTAGAGGAGCTTTAGGGGGTATTGAACGCTGTAATCCATAAATCTGGAATTGACATATCCTTGTTCATCAACATAGATTTGCTATTCCCATTAATTAGTTTATTTTTTATTTTTATTTTTTATTTTTTATTTTTTTGACAGAGTCTTGTTCTGTCTCCCAGGCTGGAGTGCAGTGGTATGATCTCGGCTCACTGCAACCTCCGCCTCCCGGGTTCATGCCATTCTCCTGCCTCCGCCTCCCGAGCAGCTGGGACTACAGGCACCCGCCACCATGCCCTGCTAATTTTTTGTATTTTTAGTAGAGACAGGGTTTCACCATATTAGCCAGGATGGTCTTGATCTCCTGACCTCGTGATCCACACGCCTCGGCCTCCCAAAGTGCTGGGATTACAGGCGTGAGCCACCATGCCCAGCCTATTAGTTTATATATTAATGGGAATATTTTGAAATTAGGTTTCAGTAATGACAATTTTGTCTCTTCATAAATGATTGCTCAACACAAGATCTTTTCTCTACCTGCATTTTACAGATGAATGAATTGAGGCTTAGAAAGATTACATACCTTGCCAATGTTCACCTGGTTATTCGTGGATCCAGATTGGAATATAACAAATTCCACAACTCTCCTCTAATCCACTGCACCATATTGTTGATTGCTGATATAGGTATAGGGATGTGGATTTCCTTTGCAGTCTTAGAAAGAATAGATTATTTTTACCCAAGCTTTGGATTCTTGTCTCTTTGGTTGCACCATGTCTTATCTGCCAAATCTTATCTGTCCCTCTTTGGTTGTGACACATCTTATTGTTGAAAAAATTTTGTGAAGACATCTGATTTTTCCAGAGATATATAGTTATCAATATATTCACATGTATCTGTAGCACGATGTTTTCATAATCCAAGAATAAATCAAATGGCCTGATATTTCAAATAAGGGTCAGATTATATCTGTACTACATTTCAAATATTAAGTATAGATAAAACTAATTAATTCTAAATTAAATAAAGATAAGAAGCATAGAAAATTCATTTCTAAGAGGTTGTAGGTCCTAAATCTAAATTTAGATAATACTGTGTCCCTGTTAACCTTAATCCATCCCTGACCAGTAACTGACATTGTAAATAAAAGGCAGATTAGACCATCAAGTATAGAAGATATAATTAGGAGTATCAAGTGTAACAGAAGTAGAAGAAATCTTGTAAAATGTAACAAATGATTGAGATAAGCTGTGATTTTCACATATAAGCAATAGTCTGTGAGTAGTTTTGGGGAGGAATGTTAAGGAGGGCTTTAGTGAGGATTCAGGGTGAAGTGGAGAGGGTGTTTACTTGTGAATGTATACCGCTCTGTGTGTTGATTTTGCAGATAAAAAACACATTTTCAAGTTAGTGACTAGTATGCATTAAATATGGGAGAGTAAAAGAAGGATGTATTTAATAGGAAATTCACTTATTTTCCATCTGTATCTGATTATCTTAAAATAAGACTTGTTCACTGTAATACCATGTGAACATTAACATTCAGGTTTTAATTATAAGTTATAAACTAATAATAAAATGTATATCATATATTACTTTTTGAAATCCCTTTTATATCTGTTATTCTAAGTCATTTAAACCTTGAAAGCTTGTAATATAGGGATTAGCATTCCCATTTTAATGATGGAAAAAAGCATCTATAAAACTTTAGTGTGAAATTTATCTCTTCACTCCCTTAATTACTCTTATATGGCTTTTATTATATACCACTTGCTTCCTAATTTTATTTTTATGATCAGCTTTTTATAATAAAATCATTACTCTTGTGGCTGTATACCTGTCTATATGTTTTTGACATTCTGTACATTTTTACATAAGTGTCTGTTTCAGTTGTACCAAGGAGACATGTGTGGGAAAGTGGAGAAAGGGTGAGCACTTCCAATTTTATATGTGGCTATAGAAGGTACATTTCCTAGAACACTTGCTACAGAAGTGGGACATTGCTTCTGAATGTCCTACATGTATGAGCCAGAGGATCCTAGGGGACATATGTGTTTGACTTAGAAACCAAGAGTAAATGACTGTGTCCAGTCAGGTATGCTGAGCTGTTCAGGCTGGCTGGAGACCTGTATGATTTTGGGGTATGGTGCTGGGTGCAGTCCAGTAGCTGGAAGTTGGCCAGAATGCCAAGTGCTTGATATATGTCCTGGGATGATTGGCATTACCTTGAATGTGACAGAGAGTAGAGGAGTGACATAATGGGATTGCATTTTAGGAATATCACCCTGGGGGACTGTGTTTTGGTTTAATTTTTTTTTTAATCGCAGAATAAGACACATGTATAAACAAAAGAATGGCTGAAGAAAAACAAAGTCTGTGATACTTACATATATAGCACAAGTTGACATAAATGCCACTTATACCTGCCTTTCTTTTTGCTCCTGGCATGCCTTTATTTCAGTGGCCCCTCTGGGTCTGCTCTGTCTCTGGGTCTTTACTCTGAGCTGTATACCTGTAATATGTTTTGCTCTGTGTCCCCACCCAAATCTCATCTTGAATCATAATCCACATAAGTTGAGGCAGGGACCTGGTGGGAGGTGATTAGTTCTTGGGGGTCGTTTCCTCCAGGCTGTTCTTGTGATAGTGAGTTCTTGCTAGAGCTTTTTTTTTTTTTTTTTGAGACTGAGTCTTACTCTGTCACCCAGGCTGGAGTGCAGTGGCGCGACCTTGGCTCATTGCAACCTCCACCTCCTCCCTGGTTCAAGCAATTCTCTTGCCTCATTCTTCCAAGTAGCTGGGATTACAAGTGCATGCCAACATGTTTGGCTAATTGTTTTGTATTTTTACTAGATACAGGATTTCACCATGTTGGCTAGGCTGGTTTTGAACTCCTGACCTTAGGTGATCCGCCCACCTCCGCCTCTGAAAGTGCTGAGATTACAGGCATGAGCCACCACGCCTGGCCAAGCTGATGCTTTTAAAGTGTGGCACTTCCCCGCTCACTTGCTCTCTCTCTCCTGCCGTCATGTAATACATGCCTTGCCTCCTCTTCACCTTCTGCCATAATTGTAAGTTTCCTGAGGCATTCCCACCCATGCAGCACTGTGAGTCAGTTAAACCTTTTTTCTTCATAAACTACCTAGTCTAAGGTAGTTCTTTACAGCTGTGTGAAAAAGCACTAATACAATCTGGAATACACCCCACAAACCTCTAAGTAATCAACTCCTGCCTCTTAGCCTTCAAAATGCAACTCAAATGGTCTTTCTTCAAGGAAGCCTTACTTGATGCCTTATTATCAATCAAGGCTTTCTTGTTATATGTTGTCATAGTTCTTTACAGTTTTCTTTTATAACATTAATCACAGTTTTACTCAAACACTGTTGGATACCATAAAGATACATTCTGTAATTAAGGATAGTATATATATGTGTGTGCACTTATGTATACATGTGTCCGTGTGTGTATACTTTGTATGTATTTAGAGGACTGTGACTTCTTCCTTGTGAGGTGTTTTTTAAGTACACAGAAGCATTTGTTTACTGGGATTTGAAAATGATCTTGCCAAGGCAGGAGAATTGGTGTTTATATTTACAACTGTCTTTCAATATACACAAGGAATTGGTTCTGGGACCCCCATGGATCACAAAATCTGCAGATGCTCAAGTCCCTTACACAAAATGGTGTAATATTTTCATGTAACCTGAGCATATCCTCCTATATACTTTAAATTTTCTCCACATTATTTATAATACTTATAAAATGTAAATGGTATGTAAATAGTTGTTATACTGTATTTTTATTTGTATTTTTTAATTTTTTTCCAAATATTTTCAACCCATGGTTGGTTGAATCTGTAGATGCAGAACCTGCAGGTATTGAGAACTGACTATATATATGTTATTTTATATATATAATTTCTTATATATATTTATGTAATTTATAATACATGCTTATATTAGAAATTATGTATGTGCACAAAGCAACAACTAACTGTTAACACTGGTATAATTCTTTCAAGTTTTTTTCTTCTGTCTGTGTACATATGTATATTCTATCTGTATACAGTTACTTGGCTCAATACCATAGATACATTTTGTGTCTGTCTTTGTATAACTAATATACTGAGAATTTTCTGGTGTAATTAGAAACAAAGGGAAGGCTGATAGAACTGGAGGCGAAGAGATTAGTTAGGAGGCTATGTCATTCCTCTTGATGAGGTCTCAGAATCGTGAGGATGGATAATTTCAGAGTAACAAATGGCAAGATTTGGAGTTTTATTTGATGTAAGTGTATGGAAGAGAGGAACAACTATCATATGCAGGATGACTCTCAGGTTTGAGTAAGTGAGTAGATGACTGTAGAAGGAAGAATCCTTTGGAAAAAGAGATAGGAAAGATGAATTCAGTTACCGACATGAGTTTGAGTTGCCTGTAAGAAATCAAACTGCATTTACCCAGTTAACCAGGCTATTCTAATTCACCAACAAAGTGAAAGCAAAAGAATATGGCCTCTGAACTCTATGTGCTAAACTATATTTAGCTTCCATGTTCGGAAAGCTTAGTGAATTATTAAGGGGGATTATGACTCCTCTTCCCCTAGAGATATTTTGTAAGTACACACAAGCATTTGTCTGTTGTGTTTTGAAAATGAACTTGCCAAGGCAGGGCAATTGCCAGCCCAGACAACCTGTCAAGAGCTCTTCCAGAGCTCTGAAACTGTGATACACTTAGATTTATGTTTCCTCTGTCACATGCTTTTATTGTACCACAGTTTTCCTAAGTGTTTTCCCTTTGCTGAGCAAATAAGAATTCATTGTAATTTACTAAATTGTGTTCTCTCCATCCTAAAATCAAATGCTGAGATCTCATATTAACATAAAAAGTACTGATGATTCAATACCTTATTTTTCTTTTTAATGTCTTTCCATCCAAGAAAGTTATAATATTCACTTAAAGAAACTGTATCATATGTACTAGCCATGCATGCAGTTTTTACATATTTTTACCTATATTTTCCATTCTCTTTACTAAATTTCTCTGCAGTGTGATTCAAACTAAGTACTGAAGTAAATGC
Organism: Homo sapiens; assembly: GCF_000001405.40. Taxonomy (NCBI): domain Eukaryota; kingdom Metazoa; phylum Chordata; class Mammalia; order Primates; family Hominidae; genus Homo; species Homo sapiens. The sequence goes on along the minus strand of NT_187556.1, from coordinate 461,561 downwards.
TAGTGTCATTAAAATAAAATACACATTAAGAATGCTATAGTAAAAAGTTTGGATACTAAGTAAAAGTCAGTTTCTAAAATTAACATATTTGTTGAGCAAATCTGTAACTAGCCCTCACAACCAGCTCTCTGTCTTATCAAGATTTAGTTTGCTATTCATGCTCAGACATGGATAGTAAGAGTGGTAATAACATTAGAAGAATAAATTCATGAAAGCTGTAAAACCTTTTTCAGCACCCTCCCCTCCATCTTCACAGGTAAAATTAAGCATTCATTCAATCATAAGTCATTCACAGATACACCTGTTATGTGTTAGATATCATGTTAGGTTCTGGAAATATAAAAATAGAAAAGAAATGAGAAGTGCCCTCACTCCAGTAGTAGAGACAAGCATATAAACTGATCATCTAAAAATGCGAGATCCATACCCATATCACAAAGCATTATAAAGGCATCTAACTGAGCATGGAGAAGATATGGAATCAAATAAAGAATCCTGGAGAGCACCTGAGCTGAGTGATATCAAAGGATAATTAAGAAGAGTTAGCCAGATGGGGTGGTTGGGTGAGAGAGAGTGACTCTCATGGAGGGAGGTGTGTTCCTATAACTTAGAAAACCCAGTTATAGGTACATTTTAAGTAAGCATAAAACTACATTTCCAGATAAAAATGATATTTGTTTCATATCAGAAAAATGATGTAAAATAGCAATTTTTACTGTCATTTGTATGCAGATTTAAGAGGAATATTCTGAGATACAGTTTAAGTTCTACAGCTAGTCTGTTTTTTCTCTTATTCTTTATTTCCTCTAACTTAGTAAATACTTCCATAATTACAGGTCAACAAGAATGATCTCTAGCAGATATTTAGTTACTGGCAGTTCTGGATGTTTGGATCTAGGGTTAAACCAGAAATAGTGAAGAGATGTTTTACTGGAAAGTACTTTTGGCAAACTGTCAGCGTCTAAGTTGGCAAGCATGTCTGACTGAAAAGCTAGAAGGTTAAATGTATTAACTTAGGATATAATGATAAATAGATTTTTACATGGTCTTTGGTTGCATTCAGGAGTTGAAATTTGTTTTCATATTTGGTTATAGCAGTGGATGCATTTTTAAATATGCCTACCGATAGGACATCACTTGCTTTCTCAAAAATATAGAAAACTATTGTGATGTTGTTGTAGATTAGAGTTAAGCTTGCAACAATTGTGTCATTTGAACTGCCGATCCTCACCATCAGACGTGGTGATATGTAGGTCCTGACAGTCAGTAAATTGAAAAGATTGCTGAATTGGACTATTTGGGCACACCACCTGAAATAATTCAAATGGTCTTAAATAGCATTTGTGTCAGCAAGGAATGTGTTAATCTCAACCTTCATTTTGAAAACCCATGTGAGCTTGTTTCCCCTTGAGAGTCAACATACTTCAGTTTGGCAAGGCAGTCTTGCATTCATTCCTCATTTTTTCACTCAATACACTGAAAATATATGGTTATATTCACTGTTTTTGATCATTTTCTTCAACACTGAATCAAGCTCAGACAGTACTGTGCTTGACTCTTGGCTCTTCTCAAATGAATGAAATATCTATATTGACATTTTTTTTTTTTACTTCTATCTTCAAAGTGCCAACTTTCCCTTCTGCATAAATATCTGTGCTCCTCTAGTGTTGAATCCACCTGCATATGTAGTCCTAGCTCTATGGGGTGACTGGTACCAAAAGATATGGAGCCTTTTGCCCTGAAGCTGATTCTGCACATCTATCAAGAGCATATCCTCTGCACATTAATGGCTTGTTCAGCTGTTAAATGAAACGTCGGCTACTACTTCCAAAAGACAGGGATTGATAACTTTTCCACATTGTATGGCTCCTCTACCTTGACATTAGACAATGTCTAGCATTGTTCATTGATGTAGACATTTTGTAAATAGGGTGTCCTGATTCTTTGAGTGCATAATATTTATCATTAATTTTATCAGGGGCCAACTCAAAAGTAGTGTTGATAGGTTGGGCATGGTGGCTCACACCTGTAATCCTAGCATTTTTGGAGACCAAGATGGGAGGACTGCTCGAGGCCAGAAGTTTAAGACCAGTCTGGACAAGATAGTGAGACCCTGTCTCCACAAAAATAAAAATAAGTAGCCCCAAAAAATAAAACAAATCAACATGGTGGTGCATACCTGTAGTATTAGACACTCAGGAGACTGAGGCAGGAGGATTGCTTAAGCCCAGTATTTCCAGATTAAGGTGAGCTATGATTGAGCCATTGATTTCCAGCTAGGGCAACAGAGCAAGAGCCTGTCTCTCCTCCTCCCCCCCCAAAAAAGTAGTGTGTATACACTTGCTTTACTTATGAGAGAATCAATTGAAGTCTCTGTTTTTTCATCCTTTCTCATTTTGGGGGAATAAAATTATCAATTATATCATGGAAAATGTTTTGTTCTTGTTCTATAAACAGTTGTTTGCTTTACTACAGAGGTTACTGGGCTTGTTTTGAAAATGGTGAAAAAGTCAATAGATTTAGCCCACTATTTCAAAATATTTTATTACCAACAGTTCACTGAGCTCTAGGTATGAATGGATCACCAGTATAAGAAAATCCAAGTTTTCAAGTATTTAAGTTGTGCTTCCTTTCTTGTCTTTCTATCACTGCTTGTTCTAGCACAAAGAGATTCACATTATATTTTGACACTGGACTCTGTCGTTATGGTAAGGAGCTAGCTTATGTTCATTACCATTTTTAGTCTTGATGAACCAATTCTGAGACATTGATACCTTTTTAAATTGTTGTCATATAGCAAGAAAAGAGTATTAAGTTTAAAAACACATTTAACATATGTAAATAATGAATACAACTTAAAAATAAGGTAGATAAGACAACTGTATCAGAACAATCCTTGTGCAGGTGTGAGCCATTAATAATGTAACAATTATTAATAATGTATGTGGGTTACATTGAAAATCATAATTAATTTTACATTTCAAACTTTTGAAACTTGTAAAAGGGCAAGTATGACAAGCATAGGACTCATTTAGAAGGCTGATGAGGCTGTTCATTTGCATTTTGCTACTCTAATATTGTTTTACAAGCTATTGTTTTAACAGTATAAATTAAATATAATCATTGACACATGGTAGTTTTTTTTAAATGTTCTTGGAAATTATCATTCTGTTCTGTGTATTATGAGCTAAATGTTTGTGTTCCCCCAAAATCCATATGTTGAAGCCCTCTACTCCATTGAGATGGCATTTGGAGGTCAGAGTTTGGGGAAACAATTAGGTTTAAATGTAGTATAAGGATGCAACACCTGTTATATTAGTGTCCTTATCAGAGAAAGAGATGTGAACTAGCTCATTCTCTGTCGTGTAAGGACAAAAATAGAAGGCAGCTATCTGTAATCTGGAAGAGGTACCTCATCAGAACCTGCCCTTGCTATCACCCCAATCTCAGATTCCCAGCCTCCAGAACTGTGAGAAATATATTTCTGCTCTGGAAACCACCCAGACTATGATAGTTTATGGAAGCCCAAGCAGACCACAACACTGGGAAATTCTTTGTATATCATTACTTACAATTTCCAGATTTTTAAATGTAAACTCTGTGCAGTGTTAAAGAGAATATTGTTTTTGCATCTGTCAAAACTGAATTTGAATTCTGGCCAGGTGAAGACAGGTTATGGCAAGGTACCTCACCAGAGGTACTATCAATACATTATTCAATCCCCTATCAGTAAGTTAGTCAATTTCCTCTTTTGTAAAATTTAGCAAGGGAAATCTGCCATTTAGAGTTCTTATGGGTACTAAATGAAATAATATATATAAAGCTTTTTCCATGGCACATAGTACGTACCTTGTTGCCTCTACTCTCTTTTTCTGCACTAGGTACAATCAACAGTCAAATTTTTTCTTCTTTTGTTATTTTATTGCATTTTTATTGATAATGTCTTAGCTATTTTTTATTCACTAAAATGACTGTATTAGCTTGTTATTTTAGCGTCATATGAGGGAAACACTAAACTTAGTACGATTTTTAAAAAGTCAATACAAACACTAAAACAATGTTGGCACTTAAAGAATGTGCTTTAGGAATAACTAATTCTGAGTGAAATTTGTGTGTGTGTGTGTGTGTGTGTGTGTGTGTGTGTGTGTGTGTGTGTGTTTTGCTATTTAGGGATTTGGTTTGTTTTTGGCATGGCCTGGGACATAATCAAATGGTTGAGAGATCACTTTCTGATCCATGTAAAATTAAAAGCAAATTGCAATGATGAGATGGTTGACAAATGAAAAGAAATATGATTATGTCAAGGAGAAAATAGAGGCCTCTCGTGACACAGTCCTTGGCATGTGCCCATGTAGGGGACTGCTGTCTTGCTCATCAGGAGGTGCCATCTCAATTATACCTCTCCATGTGAATCCTTGTCCAATGATGCAGATCCACTCTGAGAGAGTCAAGTTTTCTATTAGAGACACTTGAAAATCTTCATCTCTCAAATTGTTACAAGTATTATGATTTAATACAGATATTTTTGTTACATTTTTAAAAGAAGTTTGATGACATAGTATGTATGTAACTTAAGGCAAATTGATATACAAACACTTTTTCTTTATTTTAACTTTGATGAAATAACTGATCATTCTTTTACTTAAAATTATATGTTTTTTACTCAAATACAAATAATTTTAAAGACCTTGAAGAAATACAATTTATTTCTCCATCACTTTTTACATTATACAGCTTTGGGCTAGAGGAATTAATACATTATTCTGCTTTAGGGGAAGTGTTTCAAAATATTTTTAAAATATGTATTCCTGGTATACATTATGCCTTGGTGCATCAGAGAATTGAATTATAGTTTTCCTTAGAAAATGTATACAAACAATGTGTTCTCAAAGCATGTAAAAGAAGAAAAGGAAAAGGTGAAACTGTCATACTGTAATTGCTGAGTACCACATTTTCATGATTTTCTTAAGGCCTTCCATTTATGCTATAAATTTCTTCTAAAAACAAACAATTTATATACTTATATATTATATAATACTATATGAGATAAACATGTACTAGCAAGTTATGAGTAGCATCAGTTGTTGAAGTATAATTACATGGATTGCTTAATTTTGGTTATTTATCAGAATGTATTAGTAAATGTCTAGCTATGTTGTCTTGTATTTAAGACAAATCATTCTAATTTCAGAACAATCCAAAAATTAGCCAAGTGGATATTTCTTTAAACCCAGTTTTGAAGAATTTATAGTAAAGTACCTCTGTTAGGCCCTCAGATCATTTATACTTACCAAATTCTTTTTTATTTACCTTTACAAAAAAATACTAAAATATTCCAAGAAAGAATTAAAGTATATTGGAATGTTATAAATAGCTACAGTTTGATCATGACATTTGGGTGCTAGAAATGTGCTTGAGCTCTCATTTATATTGAAGATAAATAAACGACTAAACTTTTTAAACAATTCTCCCCATAGTTTTACATTCAAAAGAATTATTGAAATATTCAGTACTAATGTTAAATGATATATTGAGAATTTCACTTGTAGATAAAAAGACAGTTTGCATTCATGTATGAAAATGAGTGGGTAGGCCCAAGGGATTTGGTTTAGAGGAAAAGCTTTGTGTTTAGCAGCATTGTCTATTCTTTTGTGTAGTTTTCTATATGTCACACTTCTATTAGATTTTAGTGCTTTTTTTTTTCAAGTTAGTTGTTTTTCCTAGCGCTTTACACACACATTTTTTCAAGCACCTGAAAATGGGCAAAGTAATCCAGAAATCATGCTTTTTTCCCAAAATTATTTAGCTTGACATTTTGAAAATCAAAACTCAATGCTTTTATTTTCTACAGAGGGAGTAGAAGATGGATAAACAGCCAAACACTTAATTGGGTTTGGGGAAAGAAAAAGAAACAACAACAAAACTAAACGATTCTTCCCAAAACTCTCAAGGGTTTTATTTTTATAAGTGATAATGCTAGTGGACCACTAATATACAACTACAATAAAGTTAATAACTACATTTTATTCATAAAGTTTGCCAGGTAATTTTCTATGTACTTTCTATTATCGCATCTTATTTTATCCTTAATTCAACTCTATAAGGTAGATACTAGTTTTTTGTTTTTCTCATTTCATAGATTTGGGAAGGATGTCTGTGGATGTTAAGTAACTTGCACTAAGTTACCTGTAGTCTGATTCCACAGCCTGTTCACTAAGGCATTTCATATACATGTATGACCTTTTCAGCAATGGAGAAAAACACATAGAAGCCAGGAAATACTCTTGTGAAACTTGTTCTAGGCTATTATCATAATCGGAGTGGTAAAATTAAAAGCAGTGTACAATGAGACTTGATCTCCAGAATCATAGAACATAAGTGGCATTAAACTCAAGGTAAATGGTAATGACGCAGGCTGTAAAAACTAACTCCTTAGGTCTCCATGTGAATGAAAAAGATGTTTAATGTGCATTAAATGGCAGCATCTGTTCTAGAGTGTAACCTGAAAAAAATCAGTTGTTTATGAATTAAACTTAGTTAGTGCAGGGCATCTGATTTTTAAATGGGAATATCAAGTAACCTAAGACACCAAAGATCTGTTCTTCCTATGCTATGAAAGTAACATCCATTGATTTCAGTAATTTTCTTTCTGTCTTCATGAGTTTTATTTTGATATTTTATGCTCAAAGCCTTTAGATTTCGTAACACCTCCTTTAGGGTAAAATTGTTTAAAGTTAATATATTCATCGCTTTCTTACTCTACACTTAGCACTGAATAAGAAATAAGTGAGGTAAGGCCGGGTGCGGTGGCTCACGCCTGTAATCCCAGCACTTTGGGAGGCTGAGGTGGGCGGATCACAAGGTCAGGAGATCAAGACCATCCTGGCTAACACGGTGAAACCCCGTCTCTACTAAAAATACAAAAAAATAGCAGGGCGTGGTGGCGGGCGCCTGTAGTCCCAGCTACTCCGGAGGCTGAGGCAGCAGAATGGCGCGAACCCGGGAGGCGGAGCTTGCGGTGAGCCGAGATCGTGCCACTGCACTCCAGCCTGGGCGACAGAGCAAGACTCCGTCTCAAAAGAAAAAAAAAAAAAAAAGAAATAAGTGAGGTAATACGTTTCTTGCCCTAGAGAAACTTGCTCTCTAGTTGAGAAAACAAGAGAAGTATTTGAAAGATCAAGAAACAATAAAAGGCAATTAAAAATGAATATCATTAAACTAGTTTGATATTCATGATAGATAAAATGTTTTAAGTACTCTTCAGATTTTCATCTTTATGTTTACACTTTCTTCTGTCCAAGACTTTTCACCTTTGGAACATTTCAAAGTTTCACAATGACCTTTTCCTCTCCTCTCAGTTGATTTCACCAAGTAATTTGACATTTTTGTTATTCTAATTAATATTTTTACTTTGCTTCTTTAGCATTAAACCATGTTAAGGGTTTTTCTAGAGCATTACCCTGGTCAGTTGTTTAAATCTCATTTTATAAAGACATTCAGACATAAGCTTTCGTTGATGGCTTTTCTGTTACCGAAGAGTAACCTTCAATCAGTAAAAATGTGTAGGTCACTTATATGCCAGGAACTTACTGACTAAAGAATACACAATGATCCATTCTATTTATTCAGTCAGTTATTTATCAGCTCAAATATGTATTGAGCAATGATTACGTACCAAGTATTTTAGTATGGAAAGACAGAATATAGGCCGGGCGTGGTGGCTTATGCCTATAATCCCAGAACTTTGGGAGGCCGAGGCAGGCGGATCACGAGGTTAGGAGTTCGAGACCGTCCTGGCTAACACAGTGAAACCCTGTCTCTACTAAAAATACAAAAAGCCCGGCGTAGTGGCCAGTGCCTGTAGTCCCAGCAACTCGGGAGGCTGAGGCAGGAGAATGGCGAGAACCTGGGAGGTGGAGCTTGCAGTGAGCCGAGATCGCACCACTGTACTCCAGCCTGGGTGACAGAGTGAGACTCCGTCTCAAAAAAAGAAAAGGAAAGACAGAATGTAATGAAGTTAAGTAAAATATAAATGATTTTAGATGGCAATAATTGCTTGGGAGAAAAATGAAGAAGTAAATGGATATCAAGGAAAGCTTCATTAAGAAGGTGACATTTGAATAAAGCCTTACAGGAGGCGAGGAAAGGAGACACATGAATATCTGGTAGAATAACATTCTAGGCAGAGAGAAAAGCAGGTACAAAGGCCCTGCTTGGGACAAGAAGCGTAGCTGGCATGTTTGAACGGAGCAAGCAAGGCTGAGTAGTAGGTGCTGAGGTCAGTGCAGGTGAGATGGTGTGGGGAGACACCATCTGCAGGACCTGGCCTTCCACTCCTACTGTGATTCAGATGGGAAGTCACTGGGGGCTTTTTCAGGATCCCTGTAACAAACTGTGGGAAGACAGGTCAAAGAGGAAGCAGGGTTCATTTGATATGGTATGGAGAGTTTCACTGATTGCAGCCCCAGGTGATAATGGCTAAAATGAAATAAATAGCATTGGTGGAAGTCATGGTCAAGTGGACAGATTCTAATCTAAACATCATGCAGGGGGAAAAAAAGAATTGTCTGATGAAAAGGATGTGATGTGTCAGATTGAAGTGGGAGAGTTCTGTGACCCCTATCGCAGGATGTTCAACAGGGGTGTGGCTCACCTGTTCAGCTGAAACCCCTTACAGGAGGGGGAACATGCAGATGGGCAGGTGCAGGAACCAGGGTGAGCACTTTTGGGCTCTAGCCCCACAGTAGCAACTAGGGGTGGGTGCCTGTGACTCCTGAAGCCCCAGTGGGTATGTTACAGTGCTCCTTATCTCTGCCATCTGCAGATGGCTTAAGTGTTAATCAGCTCAGTGCCTTCTTGGTACCCGGGTCTTTGTCTGGTGTCCAGGAAGAATCAGGTCACACAAAGACTTGAAGGATGGTGAATGAGGGGGTTTTATTGAGTGGTAGTGGCTCTCAGCGGGATGTATGGGGACCCGGAAAGGGGGTGGAGTGGGAAGATGATCTTCCCCTGGAGTTTGGCTGTTTCACGGCTGATCTCCTCTCCAGCCTTCCCCAGCCAAGCTCCTCAACATTTAGACACTCCTTGTCTTCTCTCCTTCTCTGCCGCTCCACTCTTCTGTTCCTCTGTTCTTCTGCTCATCTGCTCAAGGAACCTGGGGTTTGGTGTTAATATGGGAAGAGGATAGGGCAGCATGGCAGGCCAAAAGGCAACATTTGGGTGCAAAAACAGGAATACCTGTTTCCATTTAGGGCCACGTGTTTCCAGGCTTGAGGGTGGGGCCTTTGCTGGGGAACTGCCCTCTTCTACCCAGCATTTCCCTGCCTCTTGTCTATATCAAGATGAAGGAAGGCCTTTGGATGATTCTCAGGTTTTTGAACTGAACTGGAGTGACTTTACTGAGATAGGAAAGCTTGGCCAGGGAACATGCTATGGAATCACATTAGCTCGGATTTGGAGATTTTGTTTGAGATACTCATTAGAAAATTAAGTTGAAATATTTGGTAGGTAATTGAATACATGAGTCTGGAGTTCAGGAAGAGGTTTAGCTGGAGATTAACATTCAAAAGTATTTTCCTTCCCCATGCACACTTTCTTCCACCTGGGATGAATGGATATAGTAGTAGATAAATACGGCAATTTGAATAGAAGTTCTTTCCTGTCTAAAATGGCAGGGAAGATTTTCTGCAACCCTATTATTTCTGAAGGTCCTTCATACCCCCTCACTTTACAATGAAAGCATGTAGTCATGTTTTGGAAAAGACCACATTTGTAACTCCTGTGGGGACACGCCCTATTTTTCCTGTCTTAAGACTTTTAAAATTTTATTTACCTCTTTTTTCCAACAGTGCTTTGACTTTATTACATTAAAATAAATTTACCTGCCTGTGGGCCTTCACTTTTATCACACAGTGAGTTATATAAGAAAAGGAGTCATGTCTTATTCACCTTTGAATTCTAAGCAAGTGATCTGGCCTCTGTAATTTCTTGCTAATTATTTGATAAAGATACTTGTTCTTGACATTTAAATGGCTACTAGGCAACTGATCTTGGAGTTTATTCTATATTTTTAAAATCTGCTATATATTGCAAACATATTAGTTGCTTGTTTTAACATTTATTGAGCTCCATTTCTTCAAGACTCAGTTTACATAAACCATTTATCTCTAGAGAGGGCATACGTGTTAATATAGGAGGCCCAAACACCCAAATGAATGGAAGACATGATGCATTAAATGCTTTAATAAAGGTACAGATTAAAACATTATTTATCACATTGTTACTTTGTCAGACTTCCTGACCAAGCTGTCACTGAAAGAATAGTATATTCCAACTCTACATTGAAGTGTTTCAATAGGGAGATCAATAGTGGGGAATGTATTCTGATTAGATGGAATGAAATAGATAATGGTACATATGTTGGACAGTGCTACATTAGTTTTGGTAGCAGATGAATACATTGGCAGGAGTATAGGGCATTGGGAGAATACATGAGATAAAGTGGCACTATGTGTTAGAAGATCTTTGGGCTCTAGGGCAAAGGCATTTTACTGTATTTTGTTCATCCTAGGAAATCTCTAACAATTATTTGGATGTGAACAGGTTATGTAATTAGAACTGTACTTTCAAAGGTCTAGATGAAAAATACACTATGAATATTAATGGTAGCAAGATTTCCTAATAGTTCAGGTGAGAGAAAGTTAGGACCTGAATGAAAGAAAAAGACATAGAATTGCTAGCTATTATATTAAATGATGTATTAAGTAGATGTGGTAACAGATGAGGTACTATGTGGGAAACAGAAGAGCCAATGATGTCTTTAAGGTTTTAGTCTGGAAACTAACATCCTTAATAGAAGCAGGAAGGTTAGAATGAGGTGCTTGTGGAAAATGATGATGAATCTTGTTTTAAACATTATATTAGCATCCAGATGGAAATCCACAGGCAGTTTGAAATTCAGAGCCAGAATTCAAGAGCTAGGTTGGAACTGGTAATTTAGATTTGGATGTAGAAAAAAATGTGAATACTAAGTTAGTATATTCACAGAACAAACATGAAATAATCTCCCAGTTCTTTTACACTTTTACACACTTCTTTGTTTACTATTCTTCTGTGAATATTTATACAGATTAGAACCTTCTACATAATACTTCAAAATGTAGCCCTACCAGGACATATTTATGGAAACAAAGGAAACCAGTCTTCTAGGTTGTCGTTTCTATGTGTTGTTAACATTTTGTGATTTCCTGTGGAATGGAACCCTTTGAAAATAGTAGTAGATTTTAATAGAAAATATCTTAATTAAATACCTTGCATAAAGTATTTGAGACATAAATTACTTTTTTACTTATACAATTTAAGGAGATTTTATTTTCTTCTAAGGCCACTATAAAACACACTGGAACATTTGACTAACCCTGTAGACTGGCTCGAGCCAGTTCATGCTCTAACACTTACTTTTGAATACCTTTTCAAAAGTAAAGAAATGAATTATTTAGGTATATATCAAGAGGAATTTCCTTTTATTTATTTATATTCTATGTGTCTTCATATATAGGAGTTATTCAGCTCTGAGATATAATCAATTAGAATATTGAAAGAGATTTCATAGGAAACAAAGATCAACTAATGTTCAAAAAATTACAAACATGAAAAGAGAAAGGTGAGATTTTGACACTGGAAAATATTAGGCTCCCCTAATGTTTCAGTGTATGGATGTTTATTAAAATTTTTCTGGACAACCTCAGTCCTTAAAATTACTGGACATAAAATATATAGCAGCACTATGAAAGCTTTTAAAGTGAGAATATTCATAAGGCTGAGTTTGCTATGATTTTAATAGTCCCTAAGTTATTTCCTAACTTTCAAATGACCATATTTATTCTAGTAATTTAAAAAAATTTGTCTTCATTCCATTATCTCAAAAAAGATCATGACTCTTCCATTTTAATATGTTCTCAGATTTTCCAGGTAGAAGTGAAGGAGTTCATTATTCTTATCTTTGTCAATTTCCTAATTTACAAATGAGCTGAAGCAATTAATCCTTGCAAGTCGCCTGTATTAATTATAGTCTAAGGCAGGTTTATTTGCAGTTTTGTAATTCTTTTTGTCACATTTTCACTGTGTTTACTATCTCAGCTTGATGCTTGTTGACATGCTGATTCATGTTTTGGTGCACTAGATAGGTTTTATTCATCTAGAGGAATGAGTATAAAGAGGTCACACCTTATAATCACACTAGCATTTCTAGTATGTGCAGGCCATATATCTCCTTTTAATTTAATCTCTGAAAAATGTACAGGGATTTCTGCAGCTAAGCTGTACAAATCAATAAAATTTATAATCAAGGCTGTCTAATCTCTAAACCTAATATAAGACTTCACAACTATTGATTATATGTGAAGGATCTGCAAGCTGTTAATCATGCATGAAGGCATAAAATAAATGGTGGCTTCAGAAAAGGAAATGGACAAATAATCATCAACCCTGCAGTCCTTATCTGTCTCTCTATTCCCTGAAGCAAGCATGTTACCAGACACTTACATTTTATAAAATCAAATGAGGTGTTAAAGTGTGTATCAATAGTCATGCTGACTTTTGTATATTATATCCTGTTTCTATTATAATGTAGAATTGTTCTCTTTATCTTCCAGATGTGTGATGAAAAGCAAATTAGTCTCTCTAATAAGTTTCTAGAAGGAAAGAAGGACCTAAGTTGATGTGTTAAAATCATAATCTTTCTAAGGAACAAAATGAGAAGAACATACTTGGAATATCATTATAATGTAATTGTAATGATTTATTTGGGGGAGGGGAGAAGAGCTCCATGTCACGAGATAGTCTCACTTAAAACTGGGCCCTCTTAGCATTTTATTAACTAGTATACTTCATGATGATTTTACTAGACTGAATTGACTGACCAATTCAAGGGGAGATATAAAATATTTACAAGGGAGTTATGTAGTTGAGAAAAACATGTACTATTTATGCACCTAAGCAGTATTAGAGGGATTTGGATAAAAAAGAAAAAATATATATATATATATATAAATGTATTATTTTCTGTCCTATTCAGTCAAGAGTAAAGAAATTCCAACTAACAGATTCTCTTATATATACCTACAAAATCATATTGACATAAAAAAGTTAAATTTAATCAATGTTATATTGCAGTGCTGGAGGGGTAAGTTACTGGTAACCTACTACAGTTTGTAATAAAGTATTGATATGTCTTATTATTTATAGAATTATTATTCCAATATTTAGTTTATTATTCTCTGTGGGAGTGTAGTGAAGAAATTAACCCCTCCTCAAAGAGCATACAGCAAGCGAAGACAAAAATATATCCATTAAAAGTCGTTTTAAGGCATATACCATACTACCGTGGTATCTGGGACATTTAAGCACTTAATAAGTGTTTTCTATTATTAAAAACAGGATGCTATTTAAGTTCAGCACAACAGATTAGTATAGAAATGCAATTCTTAAATTACTGTACTATTTTAGTGTAGATATCACTGATAGAATCTTCACATAAATATTAAGGTAATTTACCGAATGAAGATATTAGAAATAATGCCTGTTTCAAAATGCTGAGTAACAACTAACCACAAACTCTCATCAGTGGCACAGAGCAGGCACGTATTAATTATACTTGTGGGATGGTTGACTAGTAGCCTCTGATGATCTTGGCTGACTTACATATCCACTGATGGACTGGCTATAGGTTGGCTTCTGCTGGTACGACTCGGGTAACTTGGCTCTGTTCCACATGTATCTCATATTCTAGAAGAGGTATGAGCAAGCAGGAGAACAGAGGACTTTTTGAGATATAGGCTGACAACTAGCACACCCACACTTTTGCCTTATTCTGCTGACCAAAACAAGTCACACAGCAAGGCCAAAATCAAAGCATGGGGAAGCAGACCCCATTTGGTGTGAGCAGTTGCAAAGTCACATGGCAAACAGTGTGACAACAAGAAGAAATGAATAATTGGAATTATTTCAACTGCCACAGAGAACTGGGTTTTTAGGTTTCATTTTCATTAGCTTTTAAGCTTGAAACATATTGAAACTACCTGCTTTATTGTTCAGAAAATAAAAATTTCCAACCATATACTATGGATCAACCACTGTACTTGGCATGCAAAATATTACCTCATTTTTCAGAACAACATAAGAGGTAGGTAATTTATCTTCTTTTAGGGATAAAGGAGGCATTGAAAATCCCCCTTAGAATTTTGTCTTTGCTATGTACAGCTCCTCTAAAGTCACCTTACTTTTTACACTGTATATTATGAAGCAGTGTTTTCCATATTACATTTTTTTAGGGTTGTACACAAATCACTCTACCTTTTTGTGTCTATGATTTATACTGTTGCTAAAAAATTTTATGAAAAATAAAGCTTGATCCTACAGAAGTAGATTATTCTCTTCTTATTTTCTTCTATAAATTAAGAAAATATATTTTTCCAAGTATAGACAGTTACCTATTTTTAAGTTTTATTTAAATAACATGTGAATGTGATGTGCAATATCAGAGATGAATCGAAGTGGATTCATTGATTGTAGTTACATATTTTTCAACAGTCTAATAACATTACCAAAAAATGTTAAGTGAAAGACATTAAAGGGTCTCCAAATTTTCAGTCACCGTCATTTTGGGAATTAGGTCTGATGATAAGACATTTAGTGGGCTTTATCTATCTATTGGTAAAAGAATTATCTTTGCCTTTTTTTCCATGTCACTTGGGTAGTACTGTCCTTTAAAATCAAACAATTTCCTTGGCATTAATGCAGAGAGGATCCAAGTGTTAATTTTATTAAAATTATCTGATAAACTTCAGTAAGAGTGTTGAGAGCAGTGGTGATGACTTGTTTTGTTTTTAATTGATGATGTGCTTAGTGTGGTTCTGATGGCACTGGGTAAATATTACTGTGATTCTGCAGGAGAGCTGAGTGAGCCATCCACCCTCTGTCACTTTATATCCCTCGAGTCCAAGCATGTCATTTCAGCAACACAGCCAGAAAGCCTAAAGAGCTGACAGTTGGCTTGTGATTATTCCTGGACCTGAGGCTCCCTCACGTTACAGTACTAATCAAGTCATCTCACCGACTTATCATTAACTCAATTTGACCCATGGGAGCAGAGATGAAATCTTTTTGGCAAGACTAATGATGCTGTAACATTGAAAAGAAGTGAAATGTAAAACCTTGATTATCCTCAACCCTTTCCATGAGGAAAAGAATAAAAATTACAAAGCACCTAAAGGTAAGAGTAAAAGACAATGTCTTTCAAAGACCTTAAGTTTTCCTTCCCCAAGGTGCAGCACTGTTTTCTTTGCTTTTATTTTTATTTTTTTATTTCACCTTTGTCCAGAAATTTCATCTCAATTCTTTTTTATTTACACTAACAAATATTTTCTCTGGCAGTCAGAAAATTCACTTTTCTTGTATTTGTTTTGATAAATGGAATGAAAGTTCTGTTTTGCAGTCAGCTTCTAAGATTTCTGATGAAAAGGCAGCCAGGAGCACGAAGCTCCTGTCATGCTTCAGCGTTCTTAGTTTGTGTACATCTTTGACAAGAACTTTCTTTTTTTTATTTTTCCTTGGCACGAGCTTTGGGACATCTTCTATTTTTCTCTGACTGACAGCTGCATAATAAGTTTTATCATTAAAAACTGATTCTAGGGAAATATGATCCCTGCCTTCCATTCTCTTATAGATGCTAAAGCTTTTGTTTTCACAACTCTTTCAGAATAACTAGAAATTATCGCTACAAAAAGACAGGGATATTGACCTGTCATGTCCTGAGTTGTTTAGCAAGTGCCAAAAACAAAATTAAATTCCCTTTTATCTGTTATCTAGAACCACGTGTTAAATCATCTTGCTCTTGAGAGGTGACTCAAAGTCAACAGGTTCTTTTTGTTCATGTTGTCTTTACTTTTATTAACCTTTAGAGAATTATTAAGTACTTCTTCATTTTAGCCTATCAAGTTGGGTTAAACATTTAACACATAAGTTATTACAGGCATAAATACCATACTTGATCTATTTAGAATTTAAGTGGGGGCAGTGATATGTTACTTCTTTATTTACCTGCTAATTATGTAATACTGAAGATTTAATATATAAATTTTCTGACATTTCTTTATATTTCATCCTGATTTCATGTAGCCTTTCTCACTGTAACAATTAAGAATTAGGTGCACAATAAAAGGCAAAAAAGAAGTAGGAAAAGTTAGTAAAACTTGCTGATCAACATTTGACAGGGAAGATAAAGAAAACCAGGTAATGTTAACAGTTCCTATTGAATATATGTATTTTTAATTTAACAGTTAACTGTTTTCCTTGGACTTACTGGAAATGAAATAATGGAAGAGAGCTTTATGCCTTTGTTTGTAGATAAGAGCGTATAATAAAATAAGTCAAGATTCATCAGCTAAAGAGTAGAATGGAAGAGCACTGGATTTTACTTCTGGTTCCAGTCCTTTTACCAGCTTCTTAATGTTCTATCTGCACTCCCCCTAGCCCCTGACTTTGTTCTTCAAGTATATGAAAACACACAGGACCTTCAGCCTTCTTAATTCCTCTGCTTAGTCCTATGTCATAGCTTTTTCCCAGTCTGAACTCCCTGATTGATGGGGTGTCCAAGGGAAATAAACAGTCATGTCATGGGTTCTTAGTTTCTGTTTCTGGTTGGGCCAATGAACCCCTTCCTCATCCCTCTTTTCCACTTATCACTAGAAACAGAAACTAAAAACCATGGCTTCAGGCTGCTAAAAGCCTAAAGCAAAACAACAGAACAACAACAAAATGGGGTAGGTTGGACAAGCTTGAGTACACTAAACACAAATTTCAAAAAAGAAAAGTAGAATGACCTGAGAAAGTGACATCATGGTGTTTCTAAAGTTATAAGTTGACAATTTATAAATGTATAAATGTATGGGATACAAAGTGTGTTATAATTTATGAATACAACAGGGAATAGTGAAGTGAAGCTACTTATCCATCACCTCAAACACTTAATATTTTGTGTTTTGAGATCTGGTTTCTGGTACTGACCTCTGCTTTTGACTTAGTGGGTCTTTTTAGAAAAGTCAGCTTTCTTTCATTCAATTCTTTTTTTTTTTATCTGAAAAATGGGGCAGACACTAGATTTTATGCAATTCTCTTTGGCCTCTCTTGTGAATGAATTTGTAACATATGTGCTTAACACCACCTTCCCTTCAAACTCACCTGCCCCCTGTCATGCTCACTAACACATGCTCATCTCTGTTTCTGTTCCGTTTCCCTCTTTCTCCCTCTCTCTCAGAGCATCCTCTTCTCTCCATTTCTCTTTTGCCCTCTCCTTTTTCTTCTTCTCTCTTTTCTCTTACCCTATCCTTATCTATTACCTTCTCTCTTTTTCTTTCTCTTATCTCTGAAAGGATGGGAGTACCCCAACTCCTGACTTAGGTAGACTGATGCCTCCACTTAGACCTCTTTCTCTTCTTAATGCTCTCCAAGTTATCTAAAACACAGAAATCAGTTCAAGTATTGCTCGTATGCCTTGCTTCCCAGCTAGGGACATTGTCAAATTGATCTTTGCCTCCTTAGTTTCTAGTATACTTTTTGGCCAACAGAAAGCAATAAATAAGCAGTAAGAAATTATTGGATCATTTTACCCCCCAATCTGTGTCTCTTCTTGAACTTTCTCTGTTCATTTAAGAGCACCTTAATTTTCTTTGTCATTTGGTATTAACACATTAGCTATATTGTATCCATTCACATAACTCAAATCCAAGTAACCACCAAGTTTTTCAGTTTTCCTTCCACATCAGTAGCCCCTATCCTGCGTGTTCCTGCTGTCCCCCTCCTTACTTAGCCCTAATCTCTCTGCTAACACATCACATTCTTTTGATTTCTCTACATTCAATGTCTCCACAATTGACACAGCCTCCAAATTAATCTTATTAATGTTATTTTACTATGTTAACTTCCTGCTCAGAAACCCTCAATGACTTCTCATGGCCTATCAGGTAAGTTCAGCCTCTTACCATGACATCTAAAGTTTGCCTCATCTTTTCCCAACCAACCTTTCCTGTATTATCTCCTATATGATACTTGTACAGCAACCAAGTGGGATTGCAAATTTTCTCCAACTGTGTTCTACGTTTTTATTCAACTCGTTTCTTCCATTTTTTGTATTATTTATCTAAATGAGGTCTAAAGATCTTGCTTCTATCCATTGAGACCTAACACAAATGTCTACTCCATTTGAAAGGTGGAAGTTATTTCTCCCTCTTGAATTCCTATAGCATTTTTTTCTACTTATATACCACTTGTAAATATATTGTTTATTTTTTTTCTTAGCTTAACATCTTTGATAAACAAATGGAAGCTCCTTGAGGTCTAAGATTATGCTTTATTCACTTTAGTACCTTCTGGAATACTTAGGATAGTACACTGTATATAGTAATAAAATTTCTTTATGTTTCATTATAGATGGATGACTTGATCTAAACATTGAAATATAACCACTCATTGCATGAAGATCACTCGATTACTGTGTTTCTTTTTTCCTTTTTTGTTTTTTGTTTTGTTTTGTTTTTTTGTTTTTTCGTTTTTTTTTTTTTTTTTTTTTTTTTTTGAGAGAGAGTCTCTTGCTCTGTCACCCAGGCTGGAGTGCAGTGGTGCGATCTCGGCTCACTGCAAACTCTGCCTCCAGGGTTCAAGTGATTCTTCTGCCCCAGCCTCCCCAGTAACCAGGACTACAGGCATCCACCACTACACCTGGCTAATTTTTTGTATTTTTAGTAGAGATGGGGTTTCACCATGTTGCTCATGCTGGTCTCGAGCTCCTGAGCTCAGGCCATCTGCCCACCATGGCCTCCCAAACTGCTAGGATTATGGGGGTGAGCCACCATGCCCAGCATCACTTTGTTTCCTTCCAAGTTTCTGATAAAATTTTTGACTACAGCCTTTTCCAATTCTTTCTTTTTACTAGAAATGCAAAAAACAACAAAAAAAGAAATGTTATATAAAATTACAATATATGGAATACCCAATAAAGATTTGAAAAAAGAAAATCGGAAATTGAGGAGGAGCAAGAACATATATCATATTCCAAAACGATTGACAGATAATGAATTCATGAATGTGTTCTCCATTGTTTCACCACCATTATGGTTTTTTATTTGTTATAAATACGATTTACTATCATACCTCTGAGTCACTGACCCTGTAGGTTATATCTTGAAGTTATTTAATACTTATAGTAGCTCTTATGGCCAGCTCATAAATATCAGTGGTTTCCAAACAATATCTTTTTGCTTTCGGTTATTCTATGGCAATTCAAGTAATTATTTTGATTTTAAATGTTAAATTTTTATTTATGTATTTATACCTCAGAAATACAATGCAGTTGTTGGTTAGGTATGAGAAATAATGGATTAAGGTCAATAATTTAGGCAACTTTATTGTTGGAATCTTTGAGAAAAATTTCTTTGAATGGATTTTATAGTAGTAGAACCATCTCAAATCACTGCTGTTTATAAATATTCTAATATAAAAATGCATGTGCATATAGTTATCAGCCCATGTCTAAGTGAATAGTATTCAGAGAAGTTTGTATGCTATAGCACCTTTCACATGTATGTGTATATACACACATATAGATGTACATGTATGTACTGCATATGTGTATATGTATATGTGTGTATCTATACACACAACCCTGAGAAGTTCCCACCTCAGTAAAAACTGAAAAAATTTAAGGTGCATGCCAATTAAGAAAAAAATACAGTTATACAGTAACTCCCTCTGAGTTATTAATTCCACGCAGCTCAAAACAATCAAGTTTTGATTTTTAGTCTGTGTGTGTGTGTTTACTTTGGTTGTTCATATGTTTCTGAGTACTATCCTAAAGTGAGTGCAAAATTATGTCTAAGTCACTATTTTATCAACATCAGGGCCCTTTAAAGCATACATTCAAACTGTGGAAAAAAATGTCAATTTCAAATAACATATTGACTTTGTCAATTCTTAGAAAGCTATTTCTTTCCACAACTCTTTGTTTTTCCATATCAGTTAATAAAGTATTGGTCACTGAAATTATGATTGTGCTTTATATACATTGTGTAGGACTAATAAAGCTACTCTATCCCAATTTTAAATGAGTTTTTAATACAATGAGTGCCAAAGTAAGCAGCATTTAAAGACACCAAAACAAAATTATCACTTAAAGTAAATCCTATCCATTTTCTGCATAACAGATAATAAATAAATCATTTGCCCACTCTTAGATATGTAAGAATTGAGGATGCAGAGCTACTCTGTCTTCTTTACAGTGTGTAAGATGTCTAGGTATGCTTTCAAAATAGTGTTAAAATGCAGAGTAAGTGCGGACTAAATAGACAAAATGAAAAGAACTGGCGTGAGAGAGTGATGACTTAGAAATAGAGAAATTTATACAAGGGGAAAATGTCAGATTTAAAATGAGGGGTGTGTTAAAACAAGTGTATAAGTGCTAGACCTAAAAAAAATAAAAAATTAAAGAATTAGCGGGTTAAATATTTGTGGTGTTTCTCTCATTGCTGTATAGGCATTGTTTGCTCATATACTCTAGGTATTTTCATGGGAAATCTTACTTTCTCATTCTGTATAATTTTAGAACAAGATATGGCTGAATCTTGCCATGGCTACCAAACAGTATCCAGTTGCTACCTAGGAGGCAGCAAAATCACAGTTTATCTGGGAATTTTTAGGATGATCCTAGTTCTCATTGCCTGGTTAGCTGGTGGGCAGTCATAGCAAAGACTGTGTTTTCGGTCTAACTGGACTAAATTGAAAGTATCATCACTTTACTCTTGTGTCTGGTGGGGAAAATCTTAGCATAGAGCTAAACATATAAAACGATTTTTAAAATAATTAGAAAGCCTCGTCTTTCTTCCAACCTGTGGACTTCAGGTAACGTCTGAAATGAAAGTGGTGAAGTTGGGAGTCTGGATGCTGTGAATAGTCATAAGACTGGCAAATAACATTTAAAACCTAAGCATTAGATTCTACCGAAGATAAATTTGCACATATGTAGATTTTTGTAATCTAAGATTTTAAATTAAATGGCCACCAGAGTTCATTTCAGATTGCACATTAAATATATTGAACTAGAATCCCAGTTTGGGCTTGCCATCTGTTTAGCATGCTGATTGTTTTTACAGAACTGTGATTTTAATCTCAAAAACAAAAATTTATGAAAGCCCCCAAGTCAGACTTTTTGTATTATTTTCCCTACTGATTTCCATTTAGCAAGAATTTGACTATCTTTAATGAGTTAAGAGAGGCATCGGAAATCCCTTGACTTTTTTCTTTTTATCAAATCAATGAATTAAAGTTTTTGTTGTGTGTTAGTTTTTTTACTCTGTAGATGTTGCCATGGCCATGAGTTTCATAGAGTAGTTACGTTGATTAAGTTAGATGATTCAAGTTAGTCTTGAATGAGGAAAGAATACACTTGGGAAGCAGTGAAGGATGGATTCTAGTCTTTGGAGTCTTTAGTTCTGCCAGTATTTTCCAGTTGAATGGAAAATTCACCTCCCAGTTTGGTTTGGGTGACAATGAAAGGATTGTTAGACCTGAATGTTTTCTAGAAAAAGACAGAGATCAATAAGGAAAGAAGACAATGTGAATATCTACATATGTTCTTGTAATTTTTCTCCATTGTTTTTTGCTTTGATGAACAACATCATTATAGAAATAATTAATGTTAATTAATATCTGTGTCATTTCTTGTAAATGGTAGTATATTATTGTTACAATTAGAATAATTCGTATACAGCATAGCTTAGTGACATGATAAATGACAGAGTAGAATATGTTGAGTCTTATCCATTTTGATATATTAGCTGATTCACTTGCTCAATAAAGACAAAAGAAAGGCAGAGAATTGGGCAGTAACAACAGCAACAACTATAAATGCATGGCGGCTACATTTTCAGGTTTTTATTTTTCTGCCAAGTTCCTGAGTACCGTGGGTTGTTGACATTTTATATTTCTTTTCTTTTCCTGTTGTTAAATCTTAGTCCCTGATTGAAACCTTCAAGAATAGGATCATGAATAAATAAAGCAAAGGAAAATAAAACATGACTTCCACATTTTCTAGATTTGCATATGCTATATTATACTTGGTGTTTTATTTTTCCAGGATTATTCATGATATAATAGACAGCTGTCTACAACTCTGATTTATTTTTCAGAACCTATGAGAACCCCAAAGACATTAAAGATTGCTGAAATACAGGCAAGACGGATTGCTGTGGACTGGGAATCCTTGGGTTACAACATTACGCGTTGCCACACTTTTAATGTCACTATCTGCTACCATTACTTCCGTGGTCACAACGAGAGCAAGGCAGACTGTTTGGACATGGACCCCAAAGCCCCTCAGCATGTTGTGAACCATCTGCCACCTTATACAAATGTCAGCCTCAAGATGATCCTAACCAATCCAGAGGGAAGGAAGGAGAGTGAAGAGACAATTATTCAAACTGATGAAGATGGTATGCTCATACTTTGCTGTTTAAAAGGGGGGAATTCTCTAACAAGAAAAATGTGATTACTTTAAGATTTTCCTAAGATTGTCCAATACTGAATTGGATTCTGAAATCATCTAAATGTTATTAATGAGATTAACTTTGGAAAAAAATTGCCTTTTACAAAACCTAATATTCTTCAGACAAGCATCCAAATACTAAATGAAATGTGCTTCTGTTGTCCTCTCTTCTTACACAGAAGTGGCAACTACACTAAAAACTTAAATGAAGGGGTTTTTTAAATCAAATGTTCAAAAATAATTTTTACTCTCCATGGCACTATATCAATTGCCTATTGGTAAAATGCACTTGATAAAAAACTTAGGGTTTTTGTATTTTATAAACCAATAGTAGCTGTTTTTATTTTTCTCACATTTGAAAACAACACTGTTGGGCCGGGTGTAGTGGTTCATGCCTGTAATCCCAGCACTTTGGGAGGCCGAGGCAGGTGGATCACCTGAGGTCAAGAGTTCAAGACCAGCCTGGCCAACGTGATGAAACCCTGTCTCTATTAAAAATTCCAAAAATTAACTGGGTGTGGTGGCGGGTGCCTGCCAATCTCAGCTATTCGGGAGGTCAAGGCAGGAGAATCACTTGAACCCAGGGACAGAGGTTACAGAGAGCTGAGATCGCACCATTGCACTCCAGCCTGGGCAACAAGAGCAAAACTCCGTCTCAAGGAAAAAAGGAAACAACACTGTTTATACTGCTTACCCTTTCTATTCATTTTAGATGGTTTTATGTGAGTCTAAATATAAAAGCAAGCAACAGTTCATATCTGTAAGTCTAATATAATGGCCTTTATTAGACATTAGCAAGCTGTTCTTTATGTATCTTGTTGCCATCCAAGTAACTAAACTGTACTTTGTCTAATTTCTGTGTGTTACTTCTTGATAAATAATATGAACAAATATTTATATTAGTATTTTAATGTTCACATACCTGTTATAGCACTACAGTATATTATAATTTGATTGATAATATATTTCCTAATTTAGCAAAAACATATAAAAATATCTGCAAATGATAATCTAATAACAATAAGTCACTCTTTGGATGTAAGATATTTCCTTTCAAAATTTCCTTTTATGAATTAAGGCATGTAGAAAAAAAGTGTGCCATATGGTGAACTGAGGCAAAGCTAAATTAGGAGTCAGTTCTTATCTTTCAATGAAGGGCTTAAATTAAGTGATCTCTGAGGTTCCACCCCCTTCTAAACTTCTTCTTAAGTAGCTTGACAGTAGGGCTACATTTTTTTTCTTTTCTTTTCTTTTTTTTTTTTGAAACAGTCTTACTCTGTCATACAGGCTGGAGTGCAGTGGCTCGACTCGGCTCACTGCAGCCTCCACCTCCCAGGTTCAAGCGATTCTCCTGCCTCAGCCTCCCAAGTAGCTGGGATTACAGGCACCTGCCACCATGCCCTGCTAACTTTTGTATTTTTAATAGAGATGGGGTTTCCCCATCTTAGCCAGGCTGCTCTTGAACTCCTGACATCGAGTGATCCACCCGCCTCCGCCTCCCAAAGTGCTAGGGTTACAGGCGTGAGCCACTGTGCCCAGCGGGGCTACATTTTTATTTGAGTTTCATAAAACAGAATGTTTTTTATAACCACGTATTCCCAAGTTCCCTTAAGTTCTGAATTTTAGATCAGGTGTGTCTTTTGGTGCCTACCTTCTATTAGCTTGCCATAAAAGAGGTTATTATGCCATAGTTTTTACAAATACTTATAATTTCAAACTCTCCCACTCTGAAAGTGGAAATGACCATCATTTCATGTGCCTTGCTGTTTTTGTTGTAATAAGAGAAGTGAGAGCCCTTTAACCACATTTAGCTCAAAATTTGAAGGAAGCAATATAGTTCGGAAACTATACATGGAGTTACTCATGTTCCTAAAATTTCTGAGAATAAACCTAAGACTTATTTAAGACTTATTTATGATGAATGTGCTTTTGTCATGTTTGAGGTAACCAAACATGATTACTTTAGCTATCATGTTTGAACTGGCACCTAATTGAAGTAGCAACAACATTTAAACAACACCCCCTTTCCTAATTAATAAACACACAAATATCCTTATATCTTACCCCTGCCACACACACACACAACTCAATGCATATTTATGCAAGAAAGAATGATTAGGGGTAATTGTTTCATAGGCACATAATAAAAATGAGAAGTCTAACTACAGATTCAATAGCTCCAAAAAATTTCTATCTTTTCTTTTAAAATGGGATAAATGTTATAAGGTCTGTGTCACACTAGGCACTTTGTAGCCCATGTGTTCAGTTATTAAAGTATATTCACATGTTTTATTGCCTACCCTTAAAAAAAAAATCATGTCCTAATTGGTAATGGTAGACTCAGTTACATAGTTTTGTGCTGCTTTAGCCAGTCACTCTCTAGTAATAGAATTCATTTTGATGGTATTTTTGGATATGGTTTGTTAGTTTGCCCTTCTTTCCCACAAACAAAAGAATGCAGCCAGGCTTATATAATCTTTTTCATATTGCATTAAATTTTTAAATGCATTTTTCAGTATAAATATGACTAGACTAATAATCAAGGAATGAGTTGCTTTGGAATTTTAAATTATGCCCTACATTGATCAAACTCATGACTGTACTATTTATCTTATCTAAAATAGTTTTGTAAAAATACAATGACATTAACTATTTTTTGAAATATTTTAAATTCTAATTTTAATATCATTTTCAATCCTAGTTTTATTTTAATCTCTGTTTTGAATAATTTTTCCAGTTTTAATTATATTAAGTTTCGTATTATTATTTCATAGTATTGTCACAAACTAATCCCTTCTACTATGAGCGTAATTTTTTCTTTTTGTTTAATATATAATATTTAATGATTGATACGTAAACTCTTCCATGAAGTATTTGCAAGTAACTCTGTCTTCAAATCAGCATGTGAGCTTCACTTTGTACATAGAATACTTGATGTGTCTTAATGTTCCTGAGCAGGGAAAGAATATCTAAATCATAATCTGTTGTTGGAAAGATCGATGGATTATGATGATCTGATTAAGTCAGTGTTACTAAATTATTGCTGCCCTGTATACATAGAAAAAGAATAAATTATCAGCCACCTAATAAAAGGACATAATTTTATAAAAAGAATTCTGGGACATCCATAAATCATGAGAGCAAAGCTAGAACCATTTCCCGCCAGAACCCTAAGGTAGAATTTCTATTTAATTTATTGCATACACTTTTTAATGGACGAACAGAATTTTCTGTATGAGGTTTTGTTTTCATTTTTTATTCCAGCATTCAAAAAATCAATATTATAAAGTTAGCTCAGCAGAAAAGCCTGGTTTGGGGACATATTTTTGAGACTACAAAGCTATTTTTGAAAGTACATTTATTACATTTTAAAGGCTATAATGCTTATCTAATATAATCTTGCCCCACCCATATTTTATTTCCACTCTCTTTTCCATTTTGAGAGTTATATTATAAAGGACTTTCAAAAAAAGTAGCTGAAATAGCTGTCATATAAGTCTCAGGCAAGGGAACAAAAGTCAGCATTCTGTTTCCATTAAAAGTTGTTGATGTGGAAATGTGAAGTGACATTCCCTGCAATCAGTAGACTGCCATGATAATGGTTTTAGTAACTTCATATAGTATTTACACAAATCATAGGTACAGAGAGACATTTTCTGTCTATAATTGTACACATGATCTTCCTTCAAATGTAGAAAGTTATTGAATCTACTTTGTTTGTGCTCACACCTCACCTCACCTGTTTGTGTGTGTCTTTTAGTTCATCTAAGTATAGTTCCTTCTCTCATCTATGATCATCCAAGTACACGACAAGTAGTATGACACTCTCTTGTCCACAACTTTGCCACAAACTTTTGTCTTACAAATGCAATCTATAGGTACTTGTAGTGAATTCTATTGTCAAAACAGAAAAACTGTAAGAGCATAGAAATACAAAACTTCTAGGGAAGGTACTTCCCAATTCTACTCCTTTTTCAATGTAGAATTATACAAATATTTTAAACCATCCCTATTATTGAACGATGTTCGATAAAATAAATCTATGCCATTTTATGGTATTTGTAGGCTAAATTGTGTTAGGTAAACATAGGCAGTTATTATAATTACAATGCCATCAAATCAACATTTATTCATTAATTGGATATTTTGCTCCCTTTTTCCCCCATTAGCCACCTTCTATGAGAGATACGTAAGGATGAAGAAATATCTTTTCCTTCAATATAATCATAAGTGTATGTCATTTGCATATAATGGAAACAACAGGTACTCTTGCAAGACAAACCAATGCCCATGGCAGCCTTAGCAATAGACACAGATGTGCAGAGGGGCTCTCACTGGCCCTCTGTCTGGATCAGCTGCACAGCCTTGCTGGTACTGTGGAGCAGGGAGAGAGCGGATGCATTCAGTTAACTTCTCTCATAGTCTTCGGCTGACAATGGCTTGAACATATCTTCTAAAGTTTAGTGCTGGCATATTTTCTGTTTATTGTGGGTTTCTTTCCTCAATGTATCAAATTATGTTGCCTGTCTCAGAGGTCATAGTATCATTCATAGTCTCCTTGTAGATTGAAATAAATCCTGCTCTCGTGAGATATCATTCAGAATTTCTTGATGCTCCTAGCCACAATGCAATGTATTTCCCTTGATCCAGTGATTTTTAATTTATTTCAATCCTCACAAAATTGCTATATACTTTGAAACTACATTTCTGGATAATGTCATGTGTGAAGTTCACTGAAACGTTAGATTAAGGGAAAATATTAATTAAAAACTATGCTTGCCCAATATTCAGTTGATATTTTCAAAAAGAAACACATTTTTTAGCCAAGTAGGATAGATACTATATATTTTAAAATATTATCAGAACTAGAAATTGGATATTCATGTGAATAAATAGCAGCTAAGTATTTAAATAAAATATATAAAAGGAAAATACACGATAGCGAAAGAATTTTTTATCTGGTATTTTGTCAATAGAAGCTGGTGCATCATTCAGTGTTGTCATTGTGTATGACCAGTTATATGACATTTGCAAATAAGGACTGAAGCAAAGGCTCTTCAAATATGGTCATAGCTGAGGACACTTCCAAAGTAGTTGTGCAGATCGTTGAGTTCTAAACAAGTCTGACATTATAAACTAGTTTGATTCTTACCTTTGAATAAGTGAATTTCCTTTAAAAGGCTGAAGCAGTGACATTTGAACCTATCCATCTGTAATAACTCTTTAAATATGGTAATAATCAACACTGCCTTTTTAAAATTACAGAACATTTAATACATATAGCTATAAAAGTAAGGTTGGCTATTAATGGACATTTCAATTCATTTTGCTATGTGATTCGGCTTTCCAGACCAAAGAGTGTTAATTATTATCGTAATTTATTATTTATCAACTTTGTTTATGGAGACTCTTTGGGGGATTTGCATAATCTTCAAAAAAATCTTTGGGGAAATACAGCTCTGTTCTTGAAACAAATTACAAATAAGATCCTCACGTTATTAGAGGTATACAACAGAGGAAACTAGACTACATAATTTATGCATCTCTCTAAGGTGATAGAATATTCTTTTGAATAAAAATAACTTTGCATTTCTACATTTTCTGCATCAGAACCTTATAGACTTGCTTTAAATTCTCATATATCGAAGTAAAATCAGAGAACTAGTCATATAGTTTATTTTGTTTTTAAGGACACATTTTTATTTATTTTTCTTTATATTTATTTTTAATCCTGTTTATCTAGCTTATCTGATTTACTTTTTCTGTTTCTAATGTAAGCATTTTCATAACAAAAAATTCATGTGTTTTGTAGTGCCTGGTCCCGTACCAGTAAAATCTCTTCAAGGAACATCCTTTGAAAATAAGATCTTCTTGAACTGGAAAGAACCTTTGGATCCAAATGGAATCATCACTCAATATGAGGTATTGGGAGAACAAGGAAGTTAATTGAAATGTGGATTGAAGGACTAAAAGGAAGAAGAAAGGAAAAGTTAGAGGGAAATATGGAAAAGACGTAAATGAGGATTAGGGGATTAAAATCATTCTCCTTTGTTTTAATTTACAGATTCTTTGATTCCAAAATTAAGCGTCAAAATAAATATTTTGTATGGCATCTAGAATTTTCAAATTCTTAAAAAATGCATGTTTTTTGTTGCTGTTTTGTTGATTTAGGGAAGCAGGATAGTCATTATCAGATTTACGATGGTTATAGTAATAATCACATATTAAAAAACCCTCATTTTCCTTTTTATAAATTTAAGAAACTCCTATCATACTGTGATTTAGGAGAAGCCATTGAATTTCAGTTGTTTCAGAGTAAGGAATAATACCCAAAAAGCAAAATAGATTATAAAGCTGACTTTTCTAGAGCTTCATTTCAACTTTGAATATAAAACATTATCTTTTCAAATATGAGAAACTAAAAAAGAAGAAATGAAAGAATCATTTAAGTTACACAAATGTGTAGTTCTGTTCCTACATAGCGTTGATTAGATCATAAATGCTTAAATTTCTAATGGCTACAGAGTGAATTATGGAAATGAGAATCACTAGTACAATGTTATATTTTGAAACTGTGTTCACATATTTGAATACTATTTACATGAAATTTGTTATATAACTTGAACAAAGTACAGAATATGTTAATAATAATAAAAATTTGTTGAAACACTTTCTGTGTTTCATATGCATTAAAGTATATGGCTATAAGATTTTTTATGTACGCATAATTTATTGTGGTTTTTTTGATGGAAGAAAATAGATGTATATTGATTTGGTCAGCTATAACTCCGGTGTATCTGTAGATAGATGATTGATTGACATATAGACAGAACTTCAGAATGACAGAAATAACAATATCAACATGAGAAAGAAAAGAAGAAAAAAATTACCATTGACTCCACATGGATGCCCTTGCATACTACCTTATTTATACAGAGTTTATTTACAGTTTCTTATGATGGATACTAGATATGTAATAAATGTATTTCTTAAAACAGATCAGCTATAGCAGTATAAGATCATTTGATCCTGCAGTTCCAGTGGCTGGACCTCCCCAGACTGTATCAAATTTATGGAACAGTACACACCATGTCTTTATGCATCTCCACCCTGGAACCACGTACCAGTTTTTCATAAGAGCCAGCACGGTCAAAGGCTTTGGTCCAGCCACAGCCATCAATGTCACCACCAATATCTCAGGTATGCAAATGAATAAATTACAAATAGGATTGATTATGCCATTGGTTTGTAATGGCACATCCTGGAGAATCACATATAAACCAAGTGTAGTTCATCTTGCTTGTTGAACCTTTAATATAGTTATGCATAAATGAAAGCACTTTAAATAATTATTTGAATATGAATTATATGTCCAAACCAAAACACATCTGAAATAGTCACTTTTGATTGACAGTGGTCTTAAAAAAATTATACTAAATCTTTATTAAAAATCTTTCAAAATTCATTATAAATCCTAATAGATCTTATGATACTTTTGAAGAGTTGATAATTATTATGGTGTCAGACCTTTACTCTAAATGAATGTTATCAAAAAAATGGTAGAAGATCCTTTCTCTAGTATTATAGTACTACATACCTTGTTTCTGTTTCATTTTCCCTGACATTATGATAATTTTAAACAAAGATGGGCTTTTCTTTCACACTTAAAAATCTTATATAAATACATATAAGTTTTAAAATGGGAACGTACAGAAGAATTTTAGGTTGATAAAGAAATTAAACTTTACATTCTATTGTAGTCACAGTTGCACAGTTTGTATTTGACTAGATTGTTTACAGAGCTTATTTCTCCTTCAGTCAGATCATCAGTTAAACCTGATTAAATTCTTGCAAGGAGTTAGCTTTGTAGTATGCCCTAAATCTACTAAAGTTTATATAATGTTTTTTCTTATTTAAGATTACTAAAATAAATACATATTGTATATGTAAATGAAGAGTTAAATTTGAAAAATAAATTATTTAAAGGTCAACCACACAATGTAGTAAAGCACAAATTTTGACTTTGTTAATTCTTTTTGTTCATTTGTGTTCATTTTTATTATAGTTCCACATGGCAAATATTAATGATACATCATTAATACCCATAAAATATGTCTTTCATTTTTTTAATCTATACCATTTGCATTAAAAGGAAGACATGTACTTTCCAAATTATTTTGAGTCTAAAATGTTACTTGCAAACGTGTTGAGTATAATACAAACTTTAAAAATTTGTATCATGAATAAAATTAGCTATTCCATTATGAGCTATAATTCCTTGGAAGAGCATTTGATTTATCTTAATATTCCAATAAAAAATTAAAGTATCATCCATTATATTATAAAATAACAATGTTTTAAAATTGCAGTTTTCTTTCCTGAGAACAATTACAAATCATGAATTTAAAATATGTATTGAATCACTTTACCAGAAAATAAGACTTGGTGATGTTACGATGCACTGAGATAGGTTTTCTACCCTCTGGAATTAGCAGCAGTGCTATAATTGAGTAAGATCTTTCAATAGAGACAGCTACAAAATTTATATAAACTAACAAAACTGAGAACATTGAACAAATGTAAATTTTTGAGAGCCATAAATGTTTGTGTGTGTGTGTGTGTATGTCTCTCAAGGCTCAGATACTGTGTTTGTGTTGAACATAAAGTTTATAAAAAAGACCAGAACATCCATCTGATTTTTTCTTTTAATTATTCAACTTCACTTTTACTTGTATTAACCTAAGTGCAATGAGTACTTGATTGTACTTTAAAAACTTGGTTGCAATCACTTTATGTTAAGAACAATTATTAATCACATCTAAGATTAATAAATTTATGGTTAGTGTGGTTCTCATCATTACTTGAACTTTTCAGATAATTTATTGTCAAATTTATTCCCTGAGTCCGGTAATTACATTTCTCAGCATTTAAAAAAATAATTTAAATAACAGTGAAATCAAGTTATTGCAGGCATAACTGTTGGGGGAATTATTTATACATACACATACATTCACATACACACATATACACACATACATACTACATATTGTGCATGTATTAAATTAATATTTGTTGTTTCTGCTTCCTAAAAAACTCTCAGATAATAATTAATCTTCTAATGTCACTGCTCCTTTTCTTCCATCTAGACAGTATTTTAAACAGATTATTGAAATATCTTTCTAAGTGGTATCCCTACCTTCAGACTTACCCATCTTCACTGCATTTCTATATCTATCTTTAATCCACAGATATTTCCTTCTTAAATATTTTCGCAATCTTGTATCTTATAATCAGCGGGATGAAGTCTAAAGATCCACTTGGTGTTGGCATTCAGGGTCCTTCTTTGCATGACTCCTCCCATCCTCTACTTCTCCCCATGAGCCCAAAGTTCCCGGCACAGCCAACGGCTTATAGCTGTTAAAACGTACCATGCCCTTTCATATTTTGTTATCTTCAGATATTCTGCTTCCTTTCTCAGAATTTTAGTTCATCCTTTCTCTTCCTGATGAGTTTTTACCCTTTTTTTAATATTTGGCTTAA
This sequence comes from Homo sapiens, assembly GCF_000001405.40. NCBI lineage: Eukaryota > Metazoa > Chordata > Mammalia > Primates > Hominidae > Homo > Homo sapiens. Next base: position 429,430 of record NT_187556.1, on the reverse strand, counting down.
ACATCATTAGACACCCTGAGCCTTCTGGTTTCATCCCCCCACTGCCAATACTAATGAAAAAAGTGTGACCCCCCACCCCCAGACCATCATCACCAACATCACCTGAGAACTGTCTAGAAATAAACATTGTCAGGTCCCTCCCCAGAAATACTGAATCAGAAACTCTAGGGTAGAGGGGCTATAATCTGTGTGTTAGAAAGCCCTCCAGGTGATTCTGATCTTACAAGTTTGAGAACCACTGTTTTGGCAAATGGTCTTCCACTTTTGGCCACTAACATTTTGCTATAATTTTTTGTTTGTAAGACTCTTACTTTTCATAAAATGTGAATTCCTACTTTTAATTCTAAATATCAGAGACCATGCTTTGTCTTTATATTCATAGCATTTCTCATAAAACTTGGCACATAGTATATATTCAGTAAATGTTCAACGAATGGATAGAGATAATGCACACATTTCATTGAGTATATACTCCTTAAACAGCTTTCTACATGAAAGTCATCCAAAGCTATTTGAGGTAACTCTTTTTCCCCCTCAAGATCCTAGTCCCTAATTAAGCATTATCAAATATTTAAAAAAATTATAAATTTATTCTTTTTAAGAATCTGGCAACTAATGTCCCTGATGAACAAAAGCTAAGATGTCCATTATCATTTACCACACTTCTTGGTATGTTTCTCTTGTGACCAGAGTTGTGAAAAACACATTAGCATAAGAGTACTGTGTCTTTCTACACTATAAGATCATAAACGACACTGTTTCACCAGGTAGCCCTTGACCTCAGCTCTTGCTGTTCATAGCTCCTGATCGCCATATGTGACTCCATAAGCACTACTGCCCAGTCTTCTCAGTTACTACCTTCCCTCCCTCCCATCATTACTCACTTGAAGGTCTCAGGAAACTAAAAGGAAAGCATCTTCACAAAATATTTGGAATGTGTGTCATAAATTGCCAGACGATTATTTAAATTTCCACAGCAAATCTTGGTTTTCTAGCTTTTGATATTTTAAGTTCCCAGAGTTGAAATTCATTTGGAGATGTTATGCTATAAAACAAAATACGTTGTAGATAATTAGGTGAATTTTTTTTTCCTAACTTAAGATTGTCTGTTCATTCTGACCTGTGATATATTACTGTAAATTAATTGAACCTTTTTTATCTCATTAATCACTCATCAGCTCCAACTTTACCTGACTATGAAGGAGTTGATGCCTCTCTCAATGAAACTGCCACCACAATAACTGTATTGTTGAGACCAGCACAAGCCAAAGGTGCTCCTATCAGGTAAGAGGAGAAAACTACAGTAGTTCTGCCTTATCCACAGGTATGTACATCCCAAGATGCCCAAGTATGCCTAAAACCAGAGATGATAACAAACCCTATACAGACTGTACTATGTTTTTTTCTATATATGCAAACCTATGATAAAGTTTAATTTATAAATTAGGCACAGTAAGAGATTCACAACAATCAATAACTAATAATAAAATAGAACAACTATGTATTTTAATAAAAGGTGATTATGTTCTCTCTCAAAATACCTTATTATACTGTACTTACCTATTTTTGGACGAGTTTGATGGTGGGTAATTGAAACACGGGTAACTGAAACTGAGATATGAGAAACTAGGTAGGCAGGGTTGGGGGGTAGTTTTTCTTTTACTGTAAGAGTTAAAGAAAAAGGAGCCAGAAGGTTGCTTAGCAGCTAATAAAGTGGTTCATTTCAAAGATACATTCATTGGAGAATTTCTGTCAGGAGAGTTTTATTTTTGTTTAGTTTAGTTTGGTTTCCTTTGGTTTGTTAGTTTTTCATTTGGACAAAGCCTGCAGATAGACTTGTAGTTAAGAGCAAAATTCTAAGGGCATTTTTGAGATATTCATGCACTGAACCATTCACCTCTCTGTGCAGTTTGACTTAAGAGCATTGGCCTTTTTCCCCCCTCTAGTCCCATTTCATTTCACGTCCTCTCTTGGTATCTATGTTATAAGAGCTTTGAAGATATTTGTCAGAAATAGGATGAGAAAATAACTCCTGTCCAATGCAGTAAATCAGTTATGAATAATTTCATATGAATGATTGAAAAATAAGAAGCTTTGATGAAATAAAAGCAGAATAGTTAGAACACATGAAGCCTTTTTGACCTTTTAATTCCCGAATTGTTCCTTATCAAGTATTCCAGAGTAAATTGAATGTTCAGTTTGCCATTTTCTTTATCTTTTCAACAGTAAAGTCTCATATTATCTAACATCCCCATCTTTCAGAAAATTGTGAGCCATGTGATTTTTAGGAACTAAGTCAAATTGTTACAACCATTTTAATTTCTGCACATTTGTAATCAGATGAATATCCAAAACTTAAACAAGTTTCCATTTGAAACGTGATTTTGTGGACATTTTGTTATCAAACTTCTAATGAGAAATAAATGAAGGCACAGAAATCCACGTAGGCACTTCATAATTGGTTTATATCAAGTCGTTTACATATTCAGTTAAAAATAAAACTAATGTTTGTTCTTTGTGTAAAAGGAATACATTTGACTTCGTGAGCACGTATTAGCCATCCAAATAACCAAAAATAATCCTAGATCACTGGAAATGAAGAAATATTTTTTCTTAATTTAAGAAATGTATTGACAAAAGAATACAAATCATAAAGGGAACTCTTGAGTCTTGTCTGGCTAAAAATCATGAGAACACTATACCAGAGAAAAAGAGTTGGCTGAGGGTGTACTTGTAATATAAACACTTATGAAACACTGGCTACTTGAAAATTCAAAGTACGTATATAGTGCTGTTCATGAATCAATGATCTGTGAGTGAATCTGATTGCTGATCCAAAGTAGAAAGAGAAAATGCCTGCACTCAACATCTTTTCCTATTGACAAGTAATCAGGGTCATTCACATGTTCCTACCTGTGATAAAATTTACTTTTTAGGTGTTCACTTCTGTTACTGGTGCTTAAATCAGCTACCAGCTACTTGCATTTATCTTTTAAGAGTTAGATATTTGGGTGAATTCAACTTTATTTTACGTAAGTTGCAAACACAGCATATTTTTATTATTTTTGCATCACTGTACTATATAATGTAACTTACATTAACTCTTTATTCACTTAATCAATTTTTTCCACAAACATTGATTGATCATTTATTATGCCAGTCACTGTGCAAGGTATTGTAAATCAAAGATAAAATGACCACAACAAAACACAGAATCTTTGCCCAGGTTTGTCATAGACCATCAGAGATGCCTGCAGCCTTGTAAATCATTTGCTCATAGCTGGTGTTCAGGAATTTTGTTAACTCAGTATGTTATTGATACACGTTTTTAAATTTAAAGTCTTTTACTTTATTACCTTTATATAATTTCTAAAGACCAATTAGAAACACTCATCTTTGTATTTGTTGGCAAGATTTTTGACCTTTTCTAGAATTGAGCCAGAGGCTGAGAACTTCAAATTATACATTGTTGGAGATTAGTGCTCAGAAAAATAAATTTAAATCCTGGAATATTACAAGAAGAAGTAATTTAATAATAATATAAACAACAGATTTTTTTTGAAGTGAATGTTACTACCAGGAAAATAAAATCTGCTTTCTAACTGATATGCTAATCCCACCAAGTCCATCTTTAGTTTTTGTAATGACTTACCCAGTTCACCTACAGGTGGGTGCCAGGTGGTGGGACCAGAATGGTCTAGTCAAGTAATCTGGCTTCAGATGAGCCCTGCCTCCTTTACCCTCTGAATCCTTTGTGCTGTCTTTCTTTCCTCTGACCACATTCCTACTTTCAGTCTCCCTACCAGCAACTGTAGCCTTATCGTGAGGCTTATCTGATCCAGTGCCTTAATTTTTTGAAAATGAAGATTCAATTTAATGTAATCATTTTTCCTTACCATTGAATTTATGGTCTGGTATCTCAAATCTTTGATTGGATTCCCATCACTCACTTCAAATGTACTTGAAGCAATTTTACTTTCCACTCAATTTTTTCTTTGTTTATGTCAGTCTGTCAAAATCTCTTCTCTGCTAATGCTTGATGCTATTCTACTCTGTGACCCTTCCCCCTGCCACCCCTGTCACCTTCCCAAATAAACCAGAACTACATATTATCCAACTAAATCTGAGAGCATCCAGGAGTTAGCTTGCTGGCTGTCATAGACCCTAAATACTGGGTTCTGTCCTTCCCTAATTATAGCATTACTAGCCTCTGCCATTTTGCATTTCACCATCTATTCATCCCACCTCCAGTGGAAATATGTATTCTTTCTGCCTGGTCTTCCTAATATCAAACAAACTCCAGTTCTACAGTCCTCTGTCATACCAACTAGAAAATCTTGTTATATAGAGTTTTCGTGTTTAGTTTTATTAGGAAAGCTAAAATCGCCAATGGATTCTATAAATTTGTTGACTCAATAACATTCTATATGTGCCAAGAGCTGAGCTGCATACTTGAAATAGAAATCTACTTAAGGCAATTAGTATGTGCACCCGTGTGAGTGGTAGACTCCTAAATTAATGACTGGTAACAATGCTGTGTGATAAGTGCAATAATAACAGCTAGAAAATGTGGTACTAAAGCTGAATTTGTGAGGAGAGGTAGAAATGAGCATGGCCAAAGGTCACAATGATGCATTTACGAATTGCAGATAGCCTAGGTCATGGAGAGTGAAGGGTCTGTGGGAGAATTGACAGCAGCTGAAGCTGGAGAGACAAAACAGGGAGCAAAGGGAGAGGTTGTTTAGTGCCAGCCCCACAACTGAAGGTGGGCACAAGAAGGACTGTAAGCAGAAGTTACCATGGGCAGTTTTACGTTTTTAGAAAGATCACTCTGATAGAAACATAGAGAATGGACTGGGGATAATCCAGAAGGCTGGAGTAGTCCCTGTGAGAAGTGCTAATGGGCCATTTTAAGAAAGTAGCAATGGAAATGCAGGTAAGACTGTGGCTCCTACATAAGGTTTTAGATCAGTAGGATGTGTAAAGCTTCATGGGAAGGGAGTTTGAGTGGAGACTTTAGGTGAGAGAAGATGGTAGCTTTTATATTTGAAGTGGTAGCAGAGCAAAAAGACATCTCAGAATTCAAGGTTTTGTTTTTTGAGGTTATTAAGTGATAAATATTTTCAGTATTGCTACCCCAAATCAAAAAAGTAATGCTCTCTCTATGAAAAGAGGAGTTATTTTATATATTTTGCCTACCTTACCAATATTTTCACCAAGTTTTAATCTCTAAGAGATCATGGTGTTGTGCTTACATAAGAAGTAATGACCACAGTGAAAAATCCCATTCTGCATAATGCAGCACTAAGTTTCACCAACCACATTGTCCTTCTGTTACCCATTACTGCTTCCCTATGCTAATGTAGAACATGTGCGATGCAGTGCTGGCAAGTGTGGTTCTTTGACGAAATTAATTTTTGATTTTATAATCATTCTAAAAACTGAACATTGTTGCCTGACTTAAGTAGAACTTTGAATCTCCTTACCAACTTTTTGAGATCTATCCTTACAACTGTCATCACTTGACAATCATTACTGTGTTCAAAATGAATATTGTCTACATTTAGAATCAATTCCCTAGAATACATAATTCCTTTTCTTTTCTTTCTAAAAGGTTTCTTCGTAAATGAATTAAAACTCTAACCTGGGAAAATATAATTACAAATTATAATGCATAGAACGTCCCATTTATTAAAAGATTGACCCAATATAGCTGTGTTTTCAAAGAATGAAAATAACAGCAGCATGTTGTAAAAACACAAAATAGTTTCTCTGTGGTGAGACTGTTTATTGTAAAGTTAATAAATGAATATATATTTTATTTCAGCATTTTCCAAATAGAAACTCTACCCATTTTGCGCTGCAGGAAGCTACCCATTCTAAGGTTACTTTGTTTTGTGGAGAACATCTAATTTGCATTTCATAACATTAAGCACCACCTATTTAGTTTGATAATTAAAATATAGTCATGAAATAAAGTCAAAACCACCATTTCTTCCACAGTTAAATTAGGAAAAGAAATTGTCTGATGTTCTAAGTTCACTGATAGCTTAACAGACAAATGTATGTTAGGGTTGCATAGCTTTAAAATCTGGGGCTATCCTCATCCACCTGCAGAATAGTCTGTTTCATTACATAAATTTAAAGATATCAAATAGTTCTAATTTTCCTAACCACTATCCTGACCTAGAGCTTACTTGAATTCCAAATAAAACCATCTTGAAATTTAACTAGAGATGGAAATAATCTTTTTGCCCTCTTTTATGGGCATAAAGGTCATATGGTCCAATTAGATCAAATAGATGTTACTTTAATTTTATGTTTATTCTCTAGAATCATAGTAGGTAGAATCATTATAATTTTTCTAATCAAAAATAGGAGGAAGTATGCCCTTCTTGTTAAATCTTCTTTCTGGCCTCTAGAATCCCAGTCCACAGCTTGCTTATGACCTTGTGAGAAGCCCTGAGCCAGACCTGTCTTAGCTTAGCAACTCTGGAATTCCTGACCCACTGAAGCTGTGAGATAATGTTTGTTGCTTTGAGCTACAGAATTTCAGGGTAATATGTTATGCAGGAAGAGATTATACATGTACCCAAGTAGTATAAATCTTCTCTTTCTTCAGATTTCTGCCCAACGGATACTTTTATCACATAAGGATTTCTTGACCAACCCATATAAAATAGCACTCTGCATTCCCATCATTCCCTCTTTCCCTTAGCCTGCTTTATCTTTCTCTAGAGCACTTATCCCTTCTTAATATGTGTTGGTTTTCTGAATTTATTTTTTTATTTGTGTCTCCCCACTAGAATGTAAACTTCATGAGAACAGAGACTTTTGCTACTATCTTCATTATTTTAACCTCAGTACTTAAAATAATTCATGATATGTAACAGATACTCAATAAATATTTGGTGAACAAATGAACTGGATCTAAAAATATAACAGCCACATTCTGTAGTAAGCTTATCATCTGCTAAAGGAAAGACATATACCTAAAAAACTATTTTTAACAGTATAATATCAAATCATATTTGTAATGTACCATGTTGGTGCATGTAATGTGCTACGGCCACATACTGATGTATCATATAAGCAATAAATATTAGACAGCAATGCTAGGTCTTTTGTTTTTTCCACCCTAGAGTTTTTGAGAATACCATTTATGGTTCTGATAAATGGATCTTTGGCATTATAATTGTCAGTGGGTTAGGAACTAGATTAAACATGCATCCCTGTGATTGTGACTTCTACCCCCATGTCATCCTTCAGTCATCCTCATCTTAAAAATTACTCCATTGCCTTTAGAAGACAGAGTACTGAGGAATGAAGATAGTTCAAGAAGCCTTCATGGCAGAAGTAGAAAAACTAGACAAGAAAGGCAGAAATTCTTGACTGTATGTTTAGTATATTTGGGTAACAATGGTCATACCAGCTTCGAATGGAAAATAAATATCAGGAGATAAAACAAGAATGGAGATATAAGGTAAGGAATGTGGTAATTTATCAACCCCAGCGTAAAAAGTACAGAGTTTGACTTTGAATTTGACTGTACTTCAAATTTTAATGTTGCTATTATCCTGGGCTAGTGATATGTAATACATGAGATATTAAACACTTTATTATAAAACAGGTTTTGTATTAGCTGATTTTGCCAACTATAAGCTAATGTAAATGTTCTGAGCACATTTAAGTTAGGCTAGGCTAAGCTATGCTGTTCAGTGGGTTAGATGTATTATATTCATTTCAATTTACAATATTTTCAACTTGTAATGGGTTTATTGGGACATAACCCCATCATAAGTTGAGAAACCTCCATATAATGTAGTAAAATATGTCATTTTAATTTTTTAAAAAATAAGGAAGTCACATTTTGTGTATTGAATGATTAATGATACCAATATATTGATTTAACCTAATTACAGAAATATTTTTGAAGTTTATTAAAAGGAATGGGGAATATATTAACTATGGGTAGAGTGATTAAAAATATTATGATGACTTTGGAATAGTTTTAATTACTAAAGTACTGAGCTCACCTAATATTTAGATCTAGCTAGAGTTTAGTTCCATTAGGTAATTAGACAACCAGAAGAATGAAGAAGCACAATCCCATTTCATGTAATTAGTCAACTCACTTCTAATGCGATTTCTTATTTCTTATTTCATCTTTTAATTAATTTGTATTGATAAATAAGAAAATAACAAGGACAGAAACAGATTTAAAAATTGGAAATGTGGTTAGAGAACAGCCTTTCAGATTGAACAATGAAGGAAAGATAGTTTCTTTTAAACATGGACTAGTGTGACTTTTTGTTATTTTTATAGCTGTTTTTCACTAAATGTAAATACTTCTTAAAGACTCACCATGATTACAATTGATTTCTGTGTGAGTTATAAAAATGCCTCTTCAATGGGCATGAAAAAAGGTAGAAATAGATGCACAAAGTGATGCATCCAGAAAGACACTGACTAAAGACTGAGCCCAACTAAGGAGAGTAAAATGCCACTAGAGAATTTTGAGGGATACTGGTACAAGGAAAGATACTTTTCATATTTTCAGTATCTTGAAAAGGTAGCATGCTGCAGAGGTCCAGAACAGAAAGACAGCAGTACAGCAGACAGGTGTATATCAAGATTTTAAACTGAAACGGGTATTTCTGGGTGATGTTATAGAAAAGTAGTACAATTTCAGTTTCGTTTGGGTGTAAAAGCAAAAGGGAGTATGAGAGATGACTTTAAAAGACTCTGAAGATCTACTTCTGGGTAGCTGTCCCAGTCACTTTAAATGCTTACCATGGACAGTCACAGGTTCCTAAGTGAACAGAGTTGAAAAGAAAGTATACATTTTAGTTTTGTTGTCGTTTTAAACTGTATCAAACTTGAGAGGGGCAGAAAGCATTCTAAAGATGGTAGAACACTAGAAGTTTCAGTAAATAAAAGTGAATATAAGGTCCGTGAAAGGCAGGTGTTTTTTTTTTAACCTCTCTATCCTCAGAGCCTGCATGATACCTGTTAAATATATAATTGTTGAATGAAAATGAGTTAATGGATACAATGTCACAGGAAGAAAGGTAAATGAGAAAATTCTTACTCTTCAAATAATGCTCGGGATTTTTCAGGTGAAAAATGTACTTTCATGGAGAAAGAAAAAGAGTATCTTAGATATGTCCTAAGCAAAAATATCAACAGAAAAGGCAAAAGCAATGTATTCATTTCATAAACACTTAAACGTCCATTATCCTATTTGAAACCACATATTCCAGTGTGGTTTCAAATAGGATAATGGGCGTTTAAGTAAGTATAATATGTGAAAATGTAATGGCTATTGTATCAGCTTTTGGAGTTAAACATATTTGGGATTAAAAATATCTAGAAACTGGGGTGAATGTTATATCATGAAGACATTTCTCCTGGTATGAGTGGTGGTAGAGTGGGAGGGTTATAGAGTGCGGTGACCAGGTTATCTCCAACTAGCGTTCCATCTAATGTTACTCATTGCACAAAGAATGTTTTAGAAAGTATGCTTGGAAGCCAGTTCTCAGAAGTCTTTTTGTATTTATGTGTCTTAGTTTGCTCAGGCTGCTATTACAAAATACTAGGTGGCTTAAACAAGAAATATTTCTCACAGTTCTGGAGACTGGGAAGTCCAAGATCCAGGTGCTCTCGGATTTGGTTCTTGGTGAGGGCCCCTCTTCTAAACCTAATTATTTTCCAAAGGCCCCCTCTCCAAATACTATCACTTTGAGAATTAGGGTTTTAACATGAATTTTGGGGGAGGGGGCACAAATATTCAGTTGGTAACACTGTAGTATAAAGTAGAGAATGAACAAAGTGAGGTTCCTGGTTTAAGTTTTAAGGGGAGCTCTATTCTTCTGCCTCAGTTTCAATAGTAACAGAAATATAATACTTCATTTCTGTAATGACCATTCAAAGAATAAATGAATAATATTGGTAGAGAAAAGATATATAAGATTAAAGTGCATGGCACTGTAATTTATATTTGTATATAAATTATGTGGAAATCATTTTCTTAATTCTTTATGAAACAAGCATGTTACTTGTATTTTAGAACTTATAAAATTGAAATAATTTATCTTTCATTTTAATTGAGAGTAGGGCCAAATCTGAAAGTTCAACCCAAGGCATTGATTTTTATTTTCTATGGGACCATACTTAAGGCTCTTTCCCAAAGAGCCTATTGCACCTTTTCTTCCTTTACTCTTCTCCAACACTGGCAATTTACTTTGCTCCTCACAGATCTAGATAGACAAGCTGTCTTGCATGAAGTATCCTTAATTTGTAATGTAGAATCTCTGTCAATGTAATAGAATTAGTTAAGATTGAATGTTCACTAGATTTTGTGTTTTTTTTTCTAGAGGTATGGGATAATTAATGAAGAATCTATTTTTAAGGATTAGATTAATGATTAACAAGGATAGGTAATTATTATTATTCTTTAGGGCAAGAATATAAGGTTACATTTGTTTGGAGAGCATGTATGAGGGAGTTTATATGCATATGTGGATGTATCCACAGGACATGCAAATGTATAATATACAAATATGAATTATAAATTTAAAATAAAACATAGCATATGTCAGCTATGATCATTCTCGTCTTTCTCCAGGGCTATGCGTATGTATTTTCTATATCTTAAAATTGACAAATGCCTGCTCCATGGATGCCTCAGAGACCATGCATCTTGTCAGTAGCATTCTTAGAAGCTTAGCAACCAACTTGGCAGAGGTATAGGGAATGATGCAGCACATATAATTTGAAATAACATAGACTTCTGCCTTGCTTGCTCAAATCACAATTTCTAACATTAATACAAGTTCTGTTATCTTTTTAGAGGAAACAAGATGGATATGAACCTACTGATTTATTAGCAATATTTTAATGGAAAATGGGAGCTTAAATAACTAGGAAGAAAAGAAAATCTGTAATTTATCAATTAAATTATGATTTAACTCTTTCTTTTGATGTCCTTTTGTTTAATCTATGAAGATCTTTTATTTGTAGGCATAAGAGTTTATATTAAATTAGAATTTTATGCCAGAGTCTAAACTGTTTTAATTTTCATAGATGCATGTTCAGTGTATCTCTCTCTCTCCTCTCTCTCTCTGTCTCTCTTTCTCCCTCCCCCTCTCCTCCCCACTCCCCTCTACCTACCCACCTCTTTCTTTTTCATGGAAGTCTTTTAAAGAATGTATTCTGTTCCTCCTGGAGATCCATTGAATATCAATATGCAGCCCTGCATACAATTTATGTTCAACTTACCTAAGATACCACATATATTTTTCCAGAATTTTTAGGAATTTTAAAACATTTTAAAATATATTTATAATGTATAAAATATATTATAATAATAATGTCAACTTTCATGGTAATATTTTACCTGAAAAAATTTTAACGTAAAGAATTTTCTACTAAAAAAGAATATTGTTAATATACCAGCTTCAGAGTTGTTAAAAAATATTGTTAGATATCCGGGGGATCTTTATTTTAAATTTGCCTTGTTTTTCTTTTTGTTTTTTTCTCTCCTTTGTAAAGTAATTGCAATTATAGAAAAGTTTTAAGACTTAAAGATATCAGAAGGTTTAGGTTAGAGCTTTAATAGGCCAAATGCCATCTGTTTCTACAATTTGTAACATTTTATTATTAACAACTCCAGAAGAAGGAGGCGGTCTATTTCGGTTGTGAGGACAGATTTCTGTCCATCTGTGCCCGTATTGCCGCATGTCACTTGTATTTTAGATCTACATAGCTCTGAGCCAGTGTAGATGCCATGGCAAGGTCAAGAGGTGGAGAAGCCTGTCAGTACATTCTGTCTCTGAGGCTGTGACAACCACAAATGGGTGCTTCTAGCACCGCCCTGAGGCAGTCATTCTGTTAGACCTTGGAGCTGGACTTTCTGTAATATCATTTCAAGGGAAAATGTTAACTTTAAACATTTAAAAATATCAGACAAAGAACTGAATCTATGATGTGTCTTTGGTTAATGTCAGAATCCTTATTAGGGTGGCTCATTCCTCAACATTTAAAAATGTTGAAAGTCCTACGGTGATTGTTCTTCTTTTTATCAGTTTCTTTGTAACTACAGTGATGTTAGGGACAGCAGCATCTATATGGATTTTTCATTTTATTGCGAAATAGCTGAAAAGAGTATACCAGGTTAAGACTAACTTTAAATACTTTGAAATGTGGTGTGTTAATAGTCAACCCCTTAAAAAAAATCTTAGTATCTTAAATCTCTAAATATGTGTGTATATATATGTGTGTTCTTTTTTTCTTTTCCCCAAAGTGCTTATCAGATTGTTGTGGAAGAACTGCACCCACACCGAACCAAGAGAGAAGCCGGAGCCATGGAATGCTACCAGGTTCCTGTCACATACCAAAATGCCATGAGTGGGGGTGCACCGTATTACTTTGCTGCAGAACTCCCCCCGGGAAACCTACCTGAGCCTGCCCCGTTCACTGTGGGTGACAATCGGACCTACCAAGGCTTTTGGAACCCTCCTTTGGCTCCGCGCAAAGGATACAACATCTATTTCCAGGCGATGAGCAGTGTGGAGAAGGTGAGCTTCCTCCAGGATTTGCTTTTTCCCTGCTTTGAAGAAAAGCTGAAGTCAAATTTTATGAATACTCAGTAGCATCCGTCAAGAAAAAAAAAAAGAAAAAGAAAATTTGCATGTAGGGGGTTCTGTTCTCAACAGTGTGCGCAGTTTTGGGGCTACAGTAGGGCTGAGGCCGCACGCCAGTTCCATTTCACAGGGTTCCTGTTTCCTAGTAACTGCTTCTACTCGAGCCTTCCTCAGGAAAGCCCACAATAGCAATTGAGAGTAAAATGATTTGAAAACGTGGGTGTGCTGCTGCTGGGACTCCACCCTCAGTAACGATCAGGCATTGTTCTGTCTTCCTTGCTCAGTGGTGGCACACTTCAAGAGATTAAATTTACTGCAGGATAAACAGAATGCGTGTTCCACAGCAGGCTAATAAAACCTTATAAACTTTTCAGGGTTTTCAAGCCAAATAGTAAATAACATGTAACAATCCTCTGATTACAAAGTAATAGGGCGCCTGTGGTATATCTGACTGAACCTAAACAAAAGGCAGCCTGGCGATGACTGGCTGCTGAGCCATTACAGAAGGCTGCTCTCTGTTTCCCTGGTTGCCCCTCCTTTTCCCATTTTGGACACAGTTGTTTTTGAACACTGCTGCTGATCCCAAATGAATATTGAAGAGGAAAACACAACAGGACATTAGAAACGACCGGCAGTTCCGTATGTGGGAAAACAACCTGGCCTTTCATGCCTCATGCTGTTCTCTTTGGAAGATTTTCTTTCCTAAAACTTATTTTTATTTATTTATTTATTTATTTATTTATTTATTTATTGGCAGACAGAGATAGAGGGAAGACAAATGTTGAGGATAGAAATTTTCACAATTTAAAATCCAATAGAATGATGACATTTTAATAGACTTGAAGCCGTATAGGAAATTGCTGGGTTTATGTAATTGAGTCCCTAAGGTGAGCACCTGGGAGTGATACATGATATACAATTACATCAGTCATATTATATCTTAAAGAGTTTAATTGGAAGACATAACAATCCTTTTGCATTTCTGCAGGGGCCGTGAGAGCTTTGGGTATTGATTGGCTGCTTTTGAATCAAAGCTTTGTTGTTTGCTTGCCTGTATGCTTGGCTTGTAGGTAGCAAAGAAAAAGGCCACAGCATCTTCTAAGATGTGCTCCAGAGTCAGAGGCTGCTCATGGTTGAAGATGCTCTTCTCGTTTACCTTTAAAGAACTGAGGTCTTTAGAGAGTAGTCCAGTGTCCACTTTCTGCCTACATATCATTCCATACCACTGTTACAACTGGGCTACTATAAAAACAGAACACAATGGAAGTTATTAGTCCATTCTGGGTATAATATAGCATTGAGTAGGAAGCATAGTTTTGTGTGAGGGTTTTGATCTTTAGAGAGGTTCCAAATTAACTTTGGTTATTTGGTCTATTATACCAGAGGAGTGTTAATGAATGTCTGTTACTTATAAAGGATTTTCTCTGCATTCTTTAAAGCTTTTTGATATGAATTTTCTCTTCCAATTGTTAATATATCTGCACTGTGGTTTAATCAAAGTACAGAATAGCAACAATATATTTCACAGTTATCTTGGCAAAGAGTTTTAAAGTTGATGTGACTTCTACAAGTAGAGATTGGTAATGCCATTAGAAAGTTAAACAGCAATTGCTTTTAAGAAATGAAAATCCTTTGGGGCCTTTATGGGAATGTGAAATAATCTCTTGCAGGTTACCATGAAGGTCTCAGGCCACAAGTAATAGAAGTGCAACATTTTATTTTTAATTACTAATTCCCCCCTCACTGCTTTATTTTAATTTAAAAATAAAAAAATAAAAAATGCTTAAGTGGAAATTGTAAACTCTTTTATAAATTATCAACATATAGAACTACTCAAGATAGAGTTATAAATGCATCTTGCAAACAGATCGCCTCTGGTTTGTTCACTGGCTTTGATACCTTTTCTCACCTCTTGTGTATTCAGGGATGTACGCTGACTCAATTAAGTCCTAGAGGAGGAAGAGTGGGGCCAAAAGTAGCTGGCAGGGACATGTGTCTCCTACTGCCACCTGACAGCGTTAAAAATAATCATATTTTTTCTTGTCCTTTCCTACTGCTTCTACTTTGTATACCCGCTCTGTCTAGCAAGAGGAGGAAAATTATGTATGCTGAGAAACATTTAACTCCTAATAGCTAAATTAAAAGAAAGAAAGAACAGATAAATTACACCATAACTATGATGTAATGTTTTGATGATCTTTCTAACTGCTATCATTTAGCTTTTTAGTCATGCTAGGATCCAGATGAAAGTATGTAATGTTCAGCTTTGGTCTCAGTCTACAGTTCTCAGATGAAAATTAAATTTATATTTGGAACTGTTTTTATTAGCTTTGCAAGTACATTTTTCTGATAGTTTACGAAGCACTATACATGAAAATAGAATGCTATACTACTTGTCACAAACTAACCTGTTTCATTGCAAGGTAAAAACAAATATTTACATCTCTATAAAAACTAAAATATTTTTCAAAGTTCTTACTTTAGATTTTTAAGTATCCCTAGGGGGGCATATTTTTTAAAGTTTTCTTAATATTAAAATTCTGTTGTTTATAATCCCTTTTTATGACCCCAGATGGATCTTCATAATAATTATAGTTTATGAAACAGGAAACATTATCTGTACATTGACTCTTTTTTTTTTCATTTTTACTCTATCAGGAAACTAAAACCCAGTGCGTACGCATTGCTACAAAAGGTAAGAGGTTTGCTTTTTTTGCTTGTTTTAACTACTCTCACCCCCTTTCTAAAATGGAAGGACTTTGTTCCCTGCTTCAGGGCTAAATATGACATTTCTGTTATAGTTAGTTCTGTGACTCATGTGGGTGTCTTTAACAACTAATGGGGTGCTACTTCCCATCCTCTAGTACTTGACTGAAGGAATCTTGTTATGATAACAGGAAAGATCTAGAAAACCTTAGAAGGGCTTATTTCTGCCATTTAGTGTCTGAAAAATCTTGTGCTGCTGATCAACCAATATCTTAGGAAAGCGTCAGCAATAGCAGATGAAAATAGCAAGTTGCTTGTTTAAAAACCTCTATTACTTTCCATTGTAGACAATCAAACATAAAAAGAACCAAGCTAATTCATGTTTACATAAGATTATAGGGATAGAGATTAGTCCATATCTTCATCAGTAGTGCAGTTAGCTTGAAGATCATTTACTTTTTTTAAAACTTATTCTGAGAAACCAGATCTGTGATGGCTAGCTCATAACCAGGGCAATTCCTGCTGACCTGGCATATTATGGCTTAGCTGCCTAGTTTCTTTGACAAGAGAAAACATTTGCATCTTTGAATGAATATTTAGAGTTCCAAGTGGGGGAAAGTCTCCTACATTCTCTGTGTTTTTAATTCTTCATTTAAGAGTTACTTGATTGTGCCAACAAAGAATAAATTGCTACTTGGTGTATTCTAGCAAGAGAAACATGAAAAAGCTGTCTGCATGCAGACGTGGGCCTCCTCAAAGGGTTGGTTCTTGGGGTGGTTTGCTGCCGGAATTAGTAGCAGACCCACATTTGTGTCCAGTAGTTGATTCATTTGGGGTAAAAATCAATGGCCATATTCTGTTTGTACTGGCATCTTTCCTTTCATCAGTTTTCTCCATCTAATCATCAGTCTGCTCAATCAGCATTTGTGCTTTACTCCTGATTTGTAAGGCAATAAAGAAAGACTTTCTCTTTGACGCTTGTGAATAATAAAGAAGCTTTATGGAAGAGAAAAAAATATACTTTTTCAATTCACTTATGAAGATTCCTTTTGGTAGTTTTTATTTAAAAAAGCAATTCTTAAAGAGAAAATATACACAGATACATACGATGTATAAGGATTTTATTTTAAAAATTTAGCTTACTGATCAGGAACGAGAGTTGAAATTTTTAAAAGATAATAGAAGAAAGCATTTAGGTCTATATCACCTGTGTTTTTCCAGATTTAAAGTAGAACCAAAATTGTAAAAGTGTCCCACATTGACCTCTGAAGTTCTTTAGATATGTCATGCTATGTTTCTGTAACTGAGAAATGGTAGCTATATATTACCCTAACATAACTTTTTTATTCAGTTATTTCATTATTTGCTCTTGCCTGAGATGTTTGTGTCCTTTTATCGCTCTCTCGATACAAATTTAAAAAAATGACAAATATCACATGATATTTAAACTATAGGAGGATTGAGATCCTGGAAACAGTCTTACCATGTGGCATAGAATAATTGACAGAAACTTTGAAGTGGTAAAAAATAGTCCATTATTTGTCTAATAATCCAGCTCTGCTACACTTCTGGATCTCAGGAATGCAGTGTGGTGTGGTGTAGTGAGTAAGAGAAAGGACTCTGGCCTTACACTATCTGAGTTCAAATATTGACTGTGTCCCTTAGGAATTTTTTAGTATTGAGAAACTTATGTAAACCCTCATTCCAAAAATTAAATAATAGAGTACCTACACCTTCTTATTGTTGTGAGGATTAAAATAACATATATAGGCCAGACACGGTGGCTCCTGGCACTTTGCAACGCCAAAGTGGGAGGATAGCTTGAGGCCAAGAGTTTGATATCAGCTTGGGCAAAATAGCAAGACCCTGTTTCTACTGAAAATTTAAAAAAAAAAAAAATGTTAGCCAGGCTTGATGGAGCTCACCTGTGGTCCCAGGTACTTGGGAGGCTGAAGCGAGAGCATCGCTTAAGCCCAGAAGTTCCAGTTTACGTTGAGCTATGATCGTGCCACTGTACTCCTGGGTGACAGAGTGAGACCCTGTCTCTAAAATAATAAAATAAAATATATATGAAGTGCTTAAATAGTGCTTAACATATTATAAACAGTACATGTGTTAACTATCTTATCATTATGCTAATAATTTTGTACTTAAGAGGGACATAACTTATGTTAGACAGTTATGAATGAAATATGTATAAAAACAAATCTAAATTTTCGTGATCGAGATTGCTAGGACAGGGGAGAAACTAAGGGTTTTTTGTTCGCTTGTTTTTTAATGTTTCTGCCCTGGTCTAATATATTTTCTTCTCTGAACCTTTAGCATTTTTCCACATATGAAAAGCTAACCCTGTTTCTACAAAAACTAAAAAAAATGAGCCAGGCATGGTGACTTGTGCCTGTAGCTCCAGCTACTTGGAAGATGGGAAGATTGCTTCAGCCTAGGAATTTGAGGCTGCAGTGAGCTATGATTGTACCACTGCACTCCAGCCTGGGTGACAGAGTGAGACTATGTCTCAAAAGGAAAAAAAAAAGAAAAGAAAAGAAATGAAAAAGAAAAACTACCACATTTGTTAAAGTAACATCAACTTATTGCCTGACTACATTTTAAACTAACATGCAAGTATGGTCAGCTTTGGTGTGAAATTTTTCAATATGAAAATAAAAAGTTTTCTGACAGGGCGTTTTGAAGAAACATTTAATAGTCAAAATGGCATAATCATATGACTGGGAAGAGGCATGAAGGAACCTTCTGGTGAAGGAGTGGTTCAGTATTTCACAGGTGCATATGTAGGTAAAAATCTGTCCAACTGTACATTTAAAATGTGTGCACTTTACTCTTATAAATTTGTGTGTGGATATATAGGTAGATAGGTAAAGTATTTCCCAATATAAAAAAATGAATTATACATTAAAAATTGCATGGCCAGAGTTAGAAACAGCACTGAGAATATTATAGAGGAGTCTCTGGAGTTTGAAAGGCTCACCTTGCTAGCTTCAGTGAAGGT
The DNA here is from genome assembly GCF_000001405.40 of Homo sapiens. Taxonomy (NCBI): domain Eukaryota; kingdom Metazoa; phylum Chordata; class Mammalia; order Primates; family Hominidae; genus Homo; species Homo sapiens. The sequence goes on along the minus strand of NT_187556.1, from coordinate 411,073 downwards.
TTCCTTCTATCAGACGAGGTGCATCTTCAGTACATAAGCCACTTTCAGTGAGAAGGACAACCCTGCCCAGGAATCCCTGGGCTGAATGAAAAGGGTCTAGAAAGGACCTTTCTTGGTCCTGGATGACTCCTATGGGCAAGTCTTGTGTTTCAGCTGCCCTACAGTCAGACCCTCCCCTGCCTCCCAACCCCCACCCCCTTTCCAGTGTCAGTTGTGAGTACTGAAGAGCTAGAACCTTGCTAGAACCTTGCTTTCCTAATATCCTTTGTATTTAGATCAATTTTGCTGAAAAGAACTTAGTTCTCTGGAAAATCTGGTGTCCCTCCATAAGACATTCCAGTTTGCAGTGTGTCCTTTTACCACACAAATTTTCTGTTCAGGCCATATGCAACAGTCTGTTGCTTTTTTTCTCATTTTTTTGAAAACTTAAAACATTCCAAATGTAGTCTGGGACAAAGTACCTTGAACAAAGTGTGTGTTTCTCTCACTCACTCTCTCTCTGGAAATTATTTTCACATCCCCTTTATTTTAGAAAAAGTTGTATTTTGTATGGAGAAGCCAGAGTTCATTGTTACATGTTAGTATCATATTTATAATAGAAAATAAAACATTTTACTAAAACAAAAAAAAATTATTTAGCCAAATTTGAAGCTCTGATTTAATAGTCTTATACATCACTATATGCCAGGGACAAATACAGAGTGAGAGTCATATTAGATACAATAAATATTTGTTGAGTTGGTAATTGAATTTGAACAAAACGTAAGGTAGATGCTTCTGCTTTCACGTTTAATCAAACAGGTTACAGTACTGTCTGCAATTATGAAAAGTATCAGAGCAATATGTGAGTTAAGACAAATTTATTAAATAACTAGAGTTGTTTTTATTTCTTTAACTGTGCATTTATATTGTGATATATATTTCATATTCTAATATAGAATACTTTTGCCAAAGCTAAGACTTTATTTTAGTAACAAAGCAGTCAGTTAAAAATATAATCTATAAACTAATGTGAATTAAATTAAATTTAATCCTAGTCTGTGTCTATATCAGTTTTATTCAAATGAGTTTTCTTCAGCTGAATTCTGTGATAGGAAGACAGTTTAGCTCAAATTGTCTTTTCATTGTAATCACTGCTATTCTTATGACCATATTCTATAGCTTCTTTGCTTTCCTGGTACTCACATTTCAATGTGAAGGACCTATTCAAATGAATTAACCAGAATGAATGAGTTGATATATTAGAGCACAGAGTCCAAAGAGAATCTAGCTATTATTACTTCTTATAATAAGTCTTAAATTCGGGATACAGGACATTATAATGAGAGATTAAAATTCTATCAAGTGTCTTAAGGATGGACATAACTAAGTAGCATAAGAATGTACCATGTTTTGCTAATGAGAAACTCTGACTTCATTGGTGGATGTCTTTAAATTTTACAGTCAAAGTAGAAATAATAGCTCTGAATATTTTTATAGTTCTCAAGCATAAGATCAGAACTAGAAATTAAAAAGGAGTAACACATACAATTTTCAACATTCATCTTTTCCCAGCATTTTGAATTATTCTTAAAGTTGGCGACAGTTCACCATTACTACTGTATATCTGGAATACCCTGTGTCTAACTGATTTCATCTTAATTCACTTCACATTGGACCCCGGAACCTCTCTCTCTGCTCTCATTGCTAGTATAAGTAGACTCTTCTCCACCATGTTCCTAGAGAAATAGCCAAGTCACCGAAACAGAAAAGATATGAGTTGAGGACCTTCAAGGGTGCATGATCACTGTTTTCATCCCAACCCCAAGTTAGATGGAAGTTAAATATTTCTTTGCTTTAAAAGTTACAAACTATTATTGTTTGCATATGGAGTATTACTAGTCTAATAATTTTTGACAGAATGATAACTGGGATGCTAGGATATAGAGAGAAATGGAAAAAAATAGAACGGACCTGAAGATGATTCAAGCATTTTGCTTTTATGGAAATTAAACTGTTTTATGAGAAGATTTCTGACCTATTACCCTCTCTTTCCTGAGGAGCCTGTTGCAGGTACCTTACATTTATGGCCACGTCTACGGGAGAGAAGTGATGACATTCATTCATAAACTGATCAAACTGTCAGTGTTAACTGTGGAAAGGATAGAGTTTCTAACCTAATTTGTAATGCTGTAATCACATACTTAGAAGAGACTGGAAAAACATAAATTGGTACAACCTAAGGGAACTAACTTATAATCCATTTCAGCAAAAAATTCAAAAGGTAGGTGGTTATATCATCAATATTCAAAAATCAATAGTGTAGCAGCAACAAAACAGTATTTTAAGATGTTGTCATTTATAATGTATCTCTAAAAATTAGTGTAGGAATATATCTGGTGAAAGATAGATTACATCTCTACACTGAACACTACAAAATCTTATTGAGAGAAATTAAACAATACCTAAATTAATGGGATGGCACACCATGTTCATGGATTAGAAGATTCAATATTGGTGAAATGTCAGTGCTCCTACATTAATGTGTAGATTTAAAGCAATCAAAATCCCAATTTTGTTAAAAAAATTAACAATCTGATTCTAAAGACAAAATGGAAATGCAAAAGAATAAGAATATGCAAGGCTACTCTTAAAATACAGTTCCTGGATGTTATCAAGGCCAATATAAAGTTAGAGTAATTAAGACAGTGTGGTAATAGCACAAGAATAAAAATTATGACCAGTGAAAGAGAAACTCCAGTAATAGATGCACACACACGTTCACCATTTTTTATGACAAAGGTAAAACTGTAGGGAAGAGGGGAAAAGGTACCCTTTTCAATAAATGACAGTTTTTCCATATCTATATGGAAGACATTATATCTTGACCCCTAACTCACACTATATAAAAAAATACAGCTACATATAAGAGTTATAACAGTATAGTTTTTAGAAGAATATAGAACATATTTTATGATGTTACAATAGTCAAAGATTGACTCCACCATCCTCCACCAGAAAAAAAAAATTTAAACAATTTTTTAAAAAAATAATAGGCAAGGATTTTTTAGACAGGAGATAGAAATATGCTAAACAAAAAGGAATAAATGATAAATTCTACTTAAGACCTCTTTCCTGTCAAAAGATGCCATTATGAGAGTAAAATAGAATTTACAGAGGAGAAAAGATACTTGTAATAAATATATCTGAAATAAGGCATATCAAAAACATATTTAAAAACTATTAAAACTAGTGAGGAGACAAGAGACAATCCATTAGAAAATGGAGAAAACACTTGAGCACTTAAGAGAGAAGGAAATACAAAATGATCAATTAACCTATGAAATGGTGCTCAACAGGAAAATACAAATTGAAACCACAATGTGATTCCACTACACCTATACCAAAATTAGTAAAATGAAAAAGTGTAGAAAATACCAAGTCTTAAGAAGGATGTAAAATAACTGGAAATCTCCTACCATCCTGCTGGTGGGGGTATAAATTTGCACAACCACTTTGGAAAACTGTCTAGCAACATGGACTGAAAGTAAACCCATGTCCCAACAATTCCATTCCTGGGATACTCACCAAAGAAATATGTATGTTAATACACCCAAAAACATGTAGTACAAAATTTATAGCAGCACTGTTTATAAAAGCAACAAACTGGAAATAACCCAGCAACAACCAGTAGTAGATTGGATAAGTAAGTTGGGCATATTCACATAATGCCATGCTCTAAAGCAAAGAATGCAAACTATGACTACACAAAATAATATACATAAGTATAACCAACATTATTTGAGTAAAAGGCAGACAACAAAGAATATACACTTTATTGTTTAATTTGTAAAAAAGAGGTAAAATAACTAATAAAAGTTAAAAGGTATGCAGTACCTATATAGATGTATTATGATTTAAATATTATATTATCTAGATATGTATCTGTCTCAGGGGTTCCCGAGACTACCCTCAGATTCGGTGATTCACAAGGAGGACTCAGTCATCCTGTGAGTTGTCCTGTTCTCATGGCTACGACTTATTACAGTGAAAGGATACAAAGCAGAATAAGGACAGGGAGAAGTCACATGGACAAAGTTCAGAGGAAGCCAGGTGCAAGCTTCCAAGAGCCTCTTCCTATGGAATCACACAGGACATGCTTAATTTCTCCAGGATGGAATTGGGACAGCACATGTGAAATGCTGTCTATCAAGAAAGCTTATTAGAGACTCGGTTCCTAAGGTTTTTAGTGGGAACTGGTCACATGGACCCCTTCTTGCTATCATCTGCCAAGATTCCCTTCTCCCAGAAGGAAACTAGACTTTTAGCATAAAGCACATTATTTGCACAATTTAGGCACAATGAACCACTCTTCTCAGGGAATGATGGGAAACCTCCCAAATCCGAGTTCCCGGACATCAGTCCAAGGTCAACTTTGCAAGCCGCCCTTTCCAAGAATTTCAGTCTTAGTCCTGCTACGTTAACTCTTTTCTGTACAATATCTATATCAAGTGTCTCAAGGGCTAGTTAAAAGAATATTTGAAGAAATTAGAGAAAATTCCAAAAATTATACATACAATTAAGGAAGTAGAAAATTGGATGTAGAAAAATAATTAGAAAATTAATCATTATTGACACTAAGAGAGAAATCTGAGGGATAATTTAAGGACTTCCTTTAGATAATGAGTTATGACATAAGATAAAGTCACCCATAGCCTGTATCTCCCCCAAATCCTTCCCTAAGTAGAGAATATGGGCCTACTTTATTTGAAACACTTCTGAAAAGTATTTCTTGAAAACACTCTTTAGAACCTTCTAAGAAATGACAGCTCATTTAGTCATTTGCCATTCAGATTGTATACCAGCTTATATAATACCTTGATTCATTAATTATTTGCTGAACAATCCTAAAAATTATGTTTATCCATTACCCATTCATACTTTTACTATCTTTCTACACCCAATATGTATGCAGTTCAGGTTTTCAAACTCTTACTTGAGTAAAAAGGGAGAACAGGTATTTAAAAGCATATTTCTAGCCAGGCGCCGTGGCTCACACCTGTAATCCCAGCACTTTGGGAGGCCGAGGCAGGTGTATCACAAGGTCAGGACTTCGAGACCAGCCTGGCCAACATAGCGAAACCCCATCTCTACTAAAAATACAAAAAATTAGCTGGGTGTGGTGGCGGGCACCTGTAATCCCAGCTACTTGGGAGGCTGAGACAGGAGAAGAGCTTGAACCCGGGAGGCGGAGGTTGCAGTGGGCCAAGATCACACCACTGCACTCCAGCCCGGGAGATAGTGAGAGACTCCATCTCAAAAAAAAAAAAAGAAAAGCATATTTCAGGTATGTTCAGGTATGGATAAAGAAAACAACAGAAAGATTAAGGAATAAAAATACATGATGACGTGAGGTCTTTGAATTGTGGTGGTAAGTAGATATAGCATTGAACAGAAGTTTAAGTAAGTATAGAAATCTGACCTTAGGCCCCTTAAAAACCTGACCTTAGGCCCTTCTCATTGACTACTTCTTAACCGTTAGCTATGTGCTGAATAAAAGCTGGAAAACCAGAGAAATTAAAGAGGAAAGAGGGAGGGGAAAACAAAGTGGAAGCTTCACAGAGGCATCCACAGGTCATTCCAAAACCATAGTATTATGCTCACTATTAGCAACAATCTAAATGAAGAAAAGGAGAAGAAAGGAAAAGAAAGGCCACATTGCCGGGGCTTACACAAGTCTAATTCCAAGATTTAAAAAAAAAAAAAAAAAGAAAAGAAAAAGAAAAAAAAGCGCTTATGTTCTGAATAATGGACACTTCTGGTAAGGGAGCCAGAAAAAATTTAAAGACACTTTAAGCATGGCCAGACATGGTGGCTCATGCCTGTAATCCTAGTGCTTTGGGAAGCCAAGGCAAGAGATCCCTTCAAGCCAGGAGTTTGAGATCAACCTGTGCAACACAGTGAGACCCAATCTCTACAAAATAACTTTTAAAATTAGCTGGGCATGGTGGCACACACTTATAGTCACAATTACTTGGGAGGCTGAAGCAGGGTGATCATTTGAGCCCAGGAGTTCGAGGCAGCAGTAAGCCATGATCACTCCACTGCGCTCCAGCTTGGGCAACAGAGCAAGACCCTGTCTGTAAAACAAAACAAAACAAAACAAAAAACAATAAGCAATGGAGGAAATGTTTAGGCAATAATCATGGCGAATACAAAGACATTAAGAAAATGAAGAGGAGATAGAAAAAAAATGTATAAATGAAAAAGGACACTGCTAAGGAATTTAGTAACCCCAAATTCATGAATGGTTATAATCCAATAGAAAAAATATATCCAACTCTACACCATTACTTAGGTCTTAAGCATATTTAAATTATAAATATCAAAACAAGTATCACAGGGCCAGTTCATTTATATACATTGGTTGTAGATCATTTTCAGGTTAAACTACCCCTTTTTAATTTTTGCTATTATTTTAGTATGTTTTTCTTATTCTTTGAGTCCTTTAGAAAGTGCTTTGAGGGCTGTTTACTGGAAAAAGTGAATTCAAATTGCTCTTTGTCAAAATAAACTTTGTAACTTTTCAGTTTTCTAAAGATAATGATCAAATTTGACTTTTTAATGAAATAGTTTCTTAAAATTGAAAGTGCCAAAAAACTTTCAAATATATGGAAAGAGAAAGATGGATGTGATAGGATTTTTTTAACTCTCTTATGTTTAAAGTTATTTATTTCTTTATTAAATCAAACAACTCAGGGGTTTAATTTGGATAGAAATAAAAGTCATACAGTCACCACCACAGCCTTTTAGAAACATGGAATCCTAGGATCAGGGAAGTTAAGGGTCTATTTAAAGTGTCATTTCATATCCTCATGACCTGTGGCAAAGCAGGATTATAAGCTGGTCCTCCTGACCCCTAGTCCGTGGTTCATTCTTCTCTGTGCTAAGTGTTCTCCATGGTCAAGGCTCTCTGAGGGTAGGGATATGAAATTAAACATGAATGAATCTGTCTTCAAGGAGTTTGTATTCTTTTAAGTAATATGTGAAACTTAAGTAAAGTATGATACAAATGTGCTATGTTCAAAGGAAAAAAGACAAAGTGGCTGGAAAAGTGTAGTGAGCAATGCTTGTGTCCCACTGCAAATAGCATTAGCCTTGGATTCAGACTAGATTCTAGATTCAAATCCCCCCTCTGCTATTTATTGGCTATTAGGATTTGAACAAGTCATCTGAACTCTCTGTGCTGATGTTTTCTTACTGTATATAAAATGGAATTGGAGTTGAAAATTATTAATTTTCAGAACTAACAAAAGAGCAGAAATAATAGATGTGAAATTTCTAGTAAAGTACATGTGAGACATTTTTAATACATACTTATAATTCATTGCTATTATTACTATTACTCATAATTGCTTATGGTGGAGAAGCTAAGAGAAGAATTTTATGGAGGAAGTAACATTAAATCTTACTTTCCAAGATGGACATTATTTTGACAGTTGGAAATGAAAGGGAAGATGATCCAATTAGAAGTAATTAGGTAGAACAAAAGCTATAGGACTGGAAAACATGCTTTACATCTAAAGAATAAAAGTTTTCTGTCTCATTCATATCAATGCAGGGAAATAAAAGCTGGAAAGTTTATGTTGGTATTGGACAGCATCTTGAATTCAAACTGCATTGTAAAGGCAACAGCAAATCACTGAAAGTTTTTGAAGTGAAAGCAAGTTAATCCCAGCTATATGTAACATTTTGGGTTAAAAAAAATCTCAATAGCATATATGTTAGATTGATGCAGTTAAATAGTAGAGGTGAAGAAACAAGCTGAAAGCCTGGTGTAGCTCTTTTTTCTCAGCCTTTTCTCTTTTCTTCCCTTTTTTTCCTTAAAAATTCATCTCACAACCATTGGGGTGGGGCAGAGCATGGTAGGACCCACACCAGTGAGAGATGAAAGCAGCAGCAGTGGTCCCACAGACCTTGTCAGAGCCTGAGTCGGATGGAGGAGGCAGTCTCACAGAGTATCAGCCTCGTGTGGCATTTCAGAAGTCAGTTAGATTCAGAAGCTTGTCTTCATGGGGACGGTGGGTGGCACAACCCCATGTGGGAAGTCAGAGCTTGAGCAGGGAGTAGAGTGTCCACATGTGGAGGTGAACTGTTGGGGTTTTGGAGCCCAACTAGGGTGAGTAGAACATCAACACAGTAGGCAATCCACCTTGGGAAATCAGAGCCCAAGTGTGGTGAAAAGGGGACTTGTCAGGGACGCATAGCATGGTGTGAGGTATCAGAATCCAAACAAGATGAAGAGCTTGGGGGTGGGGAGTCAGACTCTGAGGGAGGTTAAGAGGGTGTCCACGCAAGAGGGTGGCCCATACAGCATGTCAGAGCCTTATCAGTCTAGGTGTGTGAACTTCCAGGCAGAGGTTGATCATGTGCCGGTTGCCTGAGTCTGCATGGAGTGAGGAGCACAGCCGCACAGGGAAGGAGGTGACAGCAGAGATGGCAGAGATTACGTGTGTGGCAGGGTGTGGGGGTGCAGGGAGAAAGTTAAAAAACACAGGTGAAACTGTGTGTATAGGGGTGTGTGTGTGTGTGTGTGTGTGTGTGTGTGTGTTCCATACACATAGTCCACTGAGACAGCCTGGGAGCAACAACATACTGATGGAAAATATGCCTAATATCCAGATGTTGGTGTCTAAATACCATTATCCAATAAAAGTACCTGGGGCTCTTTGGATAAATGGCTCATTCCAGGGCTGGAACAAGGAAAGTACAACATGAAACTAGATTATTATTATTATTTGCCAGAAAGCGCTAAAAAAATAATGAGGGCATAGCAAGAGGACACAATTGCCAACCTCAAGGGGGCCCCTCATTGGCTGAACTAGAGGCCTATTACTTGAGAATCAAAATAAAGATGGTGATTGATTATAACACTGAATAAAATAGGAAAGCACAAGTCCTTACTGATATAAATAGAGAAAGATGGATGAGAAACCAGGTATTTACATAGTTTCAAAGTAGCTCCCAAAAACTTAATAATTATAAAAGGGTACAGATTAACCTCACATTGGAAGAGCCTAGCAGATGCTTTGACCAAATGATGAAGGTGAACAGTATCCATGTTGGGAAAGACATTATGGTTTCCCACTAGGATGCAAGAAAAGCACAGCATCACTTTTGTGATATTCCAACCAAAGATGTATATCCTTAATCTAAACATTTAAAATATCAGACAAATCCAAATTGAGGATATTCTACAACATAACTGAGCTATAATTTTCAAAAACGTAAGGCCTTGAAAGTGAAGGGAAGGCTGGACTGCGCAGGCTGAAGGGGACCAAAGAGATATAGCAACTAAATATAACTAATTAGATCATTTAGATACAAAGAACATCATTAGGACAATTGGGAATTTTGAATGGGATCTGAAGTTTAGACAGTAGTTAATTTTCTTAAGTTTGAACGTCATTTTGTGATCTATAGGAAAATGTCCTTGTTTATGGGAAATACTAAAGTATTCTGGATAATGGAGGCATCAGGGCAGTCACTTACTCTTCATGCTTAGTAAAGTGAAAACAAGGGAGTAGTGTATTTGCAAATTTTCTGTAACTTTGTGTGTTTTTCCAACATATAAGTGAATTTTAAAGCTGTTATACTAAAATATGGGGAGCAGATGAGTGATTACATTAAAGAATAAGAAATAAGGATATGGAGGATATGATGGTGGAGTACAAGTTAACATGTCTTGGTGTGTATCTGCTGTGAACAAGGAAGCTGAAGACTTAAATATGATGCTGAACTTCTGTCCTGAGCCAACCACACTAGGAAGATGTGATGTCAGTCACAGAGACAGAAAACACTAGAAACAAAGGCTGAGATTAAAAAAAAAATGATTTATGCCATTTTGGAAAAGCCAAGTGTAGGGTACCAAAAAATAGCTAACATAAATGTAATTGGAAAAACTAGAAATAAAAGTGTGGAGAATGTCTGGAACTAGAGAACTTAGAACTTGGGAGTGGTAAAAACATATGAACAAGATAATATAGAAAGATGAGGAGAGCTCCTTGCAGGATACCCATCTTGAGACAGTAGGAGGAAGAAAGTGAGGTAGGAGAGAAGCTAGAATAGAAGCAACCGGATCGAAAGATGCATAACCAGTGGAGTGCCTTGTCACAACACTGACGAAAGGAAGATATACCAAGAAGGGGCTTATAAACGATAGTTAATATTTTAAGCAGCATGGAAAGCTCAAATAAAATAGGATGAGAAGAGGCAACTGGGTTTGCAAACTGGGATGTCTATGGTTGAGTTTAGAAAAGGGAGCATTCAATTAGAGTGACTGGGCAAAAAGATAGCGAATAGAAGCAAGACTTTAGCATGAACTGGAGCTGAGAAAATAAAGTGGTTGGGGAGACTTTCTTTTCCAGAAATACATTACTGATAAAAAGGAGATTGCTAGGACTTTAATTTAGGAAAGAATTATTAAGCATGGTAGAGACTGGAGCATATTTTATTTATCAGAGGAAACCTACCAATGGAGCAAAAAATATTGAATATATATAAGAAAGAATACATTTCTAGAGGAAGTAGGCAGTGATATAATTGAACAAATGCAGAAACATATCTTTTAAAACAATAGGGAATAATTGAACCTGTGAGGGCAAATGGACAAGTGACACCAACAGAAAAAATTGAGAAGTGTATTAGATTATCCATTTAAACAAATTAAATGAAGTCCTGTGCAGAGAGTACAAGTATCAGATGTGGAACAAGAGACCAGGAAATTTTTAAAAGTTTGAAAATTCTTGAAGAACAATGTGAAAGAATTTAAATCTAAGAACAATTAGCATACATACTGAAATAACATCATTTTGAAAATTTTTCAGCGTGTAAAAATCATTCTAAAAAATTCCTAGTATCGGCTGTATGCCATGACTCGTGCCTGTAATCCCAACACTTTGGGAGGCAGAGGAAGGAGGATTGCTTGAGCCCAGGAGTTCAAGATCAGCCTGGGCAATATAACAAGACCTATTTCTATAAAAACTTAAACTAAAAATTAAAAATGCTTAGTGTAATAGTTTGTTTCCTGCCTTGTATCTCTGGTGGCAGCCAGCACATAAAGAGAATAAAGACCTTGGCTTGACTATTAAACATATGAATTAAATAATCAGCATCATAATGTTTAAAATAAATAGTCATGTGGTTACATATTATGATGCAAGAGAAGAGATATCCTGGGAGTTATGTTCATTGCAGTTGAGACAAATAAAGTCACTGAGAAGATATGCTTCAAGAATGGAGTGGAAGAGTTTATCTCAATTGTACTAGAAATCAAGAAAGGCTTTCCATTTATAAAATAGCCTATTCAAAACCAGAATTGTTCTAAAATATGAAACGGAATTTGGTTAGCTGTATATTTGAAAGCAAAAAGGAGAATACGTCTCAAGGAAGGTGTCTGTGATACATTAAGAACATGGAGCAACACTAGAGAGTCACTTGTACAATGAGACAGGATCATTGTGCAACTTGCATGCTCACTGTCTTTAGGTTCAGTTCTCTCTACTGAAAAAATACTGTTTGAGATTGTTTGATATTGATTTGCTCTATCTATTTTTTTTTTTCTTGAGGCGGAATTTCACTGTTGTTGCCCAGGCTGGAGTTCAATGGCGTGATCTCCGCTCACCACAACCTCCACCTCCTGGGTTCAAGCAATTCTCCTGCCTCGGCCTCTGAAGTAGCTGGGATTACAGGCATGCGCCACCATGCCCTGCTAATTTTGTATTTTTAGTAGAGATGGCGTTTCTCCGGGTTGGTCAGGCTGGTCTTGAACTCCCGACCTCAGGTGCTCCACCCGCTTTGGCCTCCCAAAGTGCTGGGATTACAGGCGTGAGCCACCGCACCTGGCCTATCTTTGTATATGTAATTTATAAAGTGCCCTAATTCATTATACCCTCATGCACGCACACAAGTATTTGTAAATTAGCAGCTAAGAATTTTGTGCCATGATGCCATCAAGAATTTATACTGCGATTATTTGTTTCTTAAGGAAACTATCGTAACAAGTAACATTTTTATGGTTAGATTTAAATGTGCTGAATCATGCAAATATATAAATTATATTAAAATTTACTTAAAGAATCTTTAAAAGTATTTCACTAGAAATATGCTTTATCCATATTAAACTAACAAAAGAGGCATTTCAATTGAATTTTTATTTTATATTATTTAATAATATTTAGCATATTATGTCATTTAAAATTTTCTCAATATGTAAATAGTTATTTGTGGAACCATGTACTTGTTTACATAAAATTATTCTTAAAGTAAAGCAAGCGGGCATTGATAAGAAATCAAGATGCTGAATAATCCTTAGACTAAAACTAAGAAACAAAACCAATGGTATGGGAAATTGCAAGTATTGTAATCTGTTTATGTAAGTAGTTTATATTTTGAAACTACTTTGGTTGTATCTAATTTTCCCATCCTGTGAACTTCTGGATTTTTTAGAACAAACCTTGTTACTTAGCATTTAGTTTTGGCAGAAGTTTGTATGTTAGTCAAATCTATTTCTTAAAAAACCTGACATTTCCATAGATAAAAGCTATGAAATCTGATAGAATGGAAAAATTTCTAATATAGGTAAATTTATTTGAACATAGTATTTATGGTGAAAGAGGTTTTTTTTAATTTAATAATGTTTCTTGTCTATTCATGAGCCATTTTTTGATTTCTGATTTCATTTGGATATCAATATTTCTATAGCAAATATTTATTTTATGTCCATAGTATACCAGACAGTGTTGTAGGCCCTGGGGATAGAAAAGTGAATAGAGTAAAGCCTTTGCTTTTATGGAACTTAAATTCTAGTTGAAGGAAATAGACCAAACACAAACAAATAAGTACAGTCATTCCTTAGTATCCAAGGAGGACTGGTCCCGGGACCCCGAGGATACCAAAATCAGTTATGCTCAAGTCCCTGATATGAAAAGGCATAGTGTTTGCCTGTAACCTATGTACATCCTTCTGTATACTTAATCTCTAGATTACTTATAATACCAAATACAGTGTAAGTCTGTGGTTGTTTGACTCTTCGGATGCAGAACCCATGAATGCAGAGGGCTGACTGTATGTGGCATGGCAAATGGTGATAAATCCTTTGAAGAAAAATAAAGGGTCTGGGGATAGGAAATACTGGAAGAATGTGTCTAGGGCATTACTACTTTATATACAGTTATCAGAGAAAGTCTCGCTGGTGAGGTAATGTTTCAGCAGAAACCTGAAGGGAATGAGGGCATCACCCATGTAGGGCAGGAGCATTAGAGGCAGAGGGAACATATGCGGAACCTTGAGGAGAATTTTTCCTTATCTGCTCAGAGAAGGTGGGTCAAATCCAGGGGATGAGCTAGAATGTTCTAAATCAGCTCTTCTCAAAGTTAAGCTTAAGTCAGAATCACTTGGGGGCTTGTTAAGCAGATTGCTGGGCCTCAACTCCACAGTTTCTAAATCACTGGGCCTGGAAAGAGGCCCAAGAATTTGCATTTCTAATGAGTTTACCCCTGACACTGCTGGTCAGGTCAACAACTGGTCTAAGCAAGTCCCATTCACCCTCTGCCAGTGATTGGTTTAGCGTCGTAGATGTAATCCTATCTTGGCATGAGAGATCTAAGGCTACATCTTCTTAGAACGTAGGACTTCAAAGAAATGTTTTCCTTCCTGATTTATAAACAGAGAGGTGGGAAGGACAACCCCCAACTCATCCCTTTTACCTAGGGGCATTGTTTTATCAGGATATGGTGTTCAGAAAGTTGAGCCATATTGTCTAAACAAATTAGCCAACTCAGAGCCCTAACAACCATGAGGTTCTCAGATATCCATTGCTGGACTTCCTTAATTTTAGATATCTGTATTTGAAAAAAAAAAAGTCATTATGGAAATCACTACTAGTAGGTAATCTGTTATTTGCAGCATATAGTGTTTGAACTGATATTAAGTTTTTATTTTCCCTTAGGAATTTTAGTAAAAATAGTGGCTAGTTTCCAATATGTAGTGTAAAGGTTCAGGTATTTCACAAATGATTGCAAGAAAGCACTTAAAGTTCATGTAACCTAATCATTACCATGATATTTTTAAAATAGTGAATCTCTTTCTTGGTGTCAGTCTAAAATACCAGAAAACACTTTGACTGCCTTGCCATAGGTACTTTGGTGGAACTTATCTTCACTGGCACCAGATATAGCTGGAAATCAGTAACAGACAGTATCCCTAGAAGCCATGGAAAGAAAAAAATTCCAAAAGCTAAGGTATACATGTGGGCATTCATTTTTCATTTGTTTGATAAACCTAAAGTTGATGTATAATTACTAAAGATTCATATAGTCTGGAGTTTACCTCTTCATTTTGTATGTTTATATCCTGGGAATGTCTAAGTCAGATTATTATTTACTCAGAATATTACTTATGGTAAGCAATGATGATATAAGTCCTTCCTCACTCCCTCTAAAAATCTTTGACTTCAGTGCTAGCTTGCACTTTAAACATGTATTCCAATATTAAGAAACAATCACTTGTTACAAAAGAGTAGAAGTACATGCAAGATTTTATCCAAAATCCAAATGCATAAGACATACCAGCACTGATCATGTTTTGTCTAATTTCTCCATTCTTCTTTCTTTTGTGGTCTATTCACTAATTACTTGATGAAGAATTTGTTTTTTTAAAAGCATTTTCTTCATAATCTTAATTTTGTCTGATGCTGCCTTTGTCAAATCTTTCATTGGTGCCCTTTTCTCTGTGCAGATGGATGAAATGCTTTTGTAAGTGACAGACATTCAAAAATAACAAACATGAGAAGAAAAAGAACAGTTTATCTGTCAAGAAGTTACAGTAAAACTGTGGAAGCTCCATTTGGTTGTACTCCATGCGTTTAGAAACTTTTTGACTGAATTCATTTCCATTAGAGTCACCACTGGTGAACTTGAACAACTCCACAATCTCCACTCTTAAATTGCACTCTTGTGTTTCATCCCTCACAGAATTTACAAAAGTGGAGGGTGGTTTAAAAGCAAGGGTTTAAAAAAATCTATATTTAAATGGGCTTCAGGGCCTGAAATCCTAGTCTTAATTTCTTAAATTGTACTAAGATGTTTTATTTTTAGTCTGCTGCACGTTGAAGGAAATAGGAAAACATTAGCAATAAATTTTCAGATACTTTTTTACCACTTTTTTTTAAAGGGATGGAAGTTAGGATCAACTGTGGTAGATTCGCCTAGCCATTCAGAAACTTTGGGCAGGGATGTGGCTTTTCTTGGTCCCTAGGATGGAATTAGCCTGGGGAAAGCTGCTAGCCCTTCTGAAAACTTGTAATCAGTGAGCAGAATTTTGTAGTTTTTCCTCTGAGTGCCTGAGCACTCTTGCTGATAATCACACTCTTTTCTCCTGCAAGGGAGCAAGTGTGTATCATTCTTCCTGCCTGTTGGATCTATGCACAAGTTGTCAAAAATTAATCTGATTTAAGGTTTTTCTTTTCCTGAACTCAGAAGGGAGGAAATTACAGAAAAGTATATTAGTAATAGAGTAATAGACTATAGCCTGAGGGAAATGAAAGCATATCTAAGCGAAGCCAAGCCAGGAACAAGTACAATTTTAATGAAAAATCAATGTTTCATGACTTAGAACTGACTTTTGTTAGGCACTAATATTTCCTGCTTTTCTGTCAACATCCTTATCATTATAAATTCTTTTTTGTTTCAATATAAAGGTACTAAAAAATTAACAGCTAATAGATTATTTTCAACCTGTTTGCAAGGCTAAAGTCTCTCTTTGCCTTTGAAAAACTGGAGTAGAATAAAAATGTTATATTACCACAATGGATTTAAAGGCTAACGAGTGGTCAAATTGTTAATTATTCAGAAATTTCTTATTGAAATGAAGAACTGTCTGGATGGACTGGACTGTAAAGTTCATGAGGGTATGGGTATCAACCTCCTTATAATTGTGTGTGCCTGATATTTAAAAGATATGTATTAATCTCTTTGGAATGGCTGAATTAATTAATATTGTTATTCAGAATATTATTTAGTACAATAATTCATAATTATTCTTTTCAATGCCCTGAAGATGTATCAGTGTTTTTTCCTGCCATATTTTAATTTTATTGACATAATTTAGAAACAATGTGGAGTGGTCATTTTTCTTTTAATCTAATACAGAAAAAGATAAAATGTTTATGAATAGAAGTTCTGCCTTTGCTTTTGCTCCTGTCCCCACATACCCTCTTAGAATGGACAAAATACAGGAAGAAAACTTTTACCTGAGTTCTTAATTTTATTACATCTTACATTAATTTTCACCTTTTTGTGAGAAAAATAGGTTTAAAAAGTAGTTGATTTTTTAACCTTGCCTCCACCTACTAGATGGAGAGTATTGTCATTACTGTAAATAGAGGAAAGAAATGATATAGAAGCCCATGACTTCAAGAAGTTTATGGTCCAACTCATGACACATAAACAGATCTGAAAAAAGTAAAGTCTAGGTAAAATACCTCAAAAATGTGTGTGTGTAATATAAGTATGTATACTATACGTAAGTATTCTACTAAAGAGATAGGAAGTTTTCAAGAACAGCGATGATGACTTGTGGAAAATTTCTGAGAAGTCATTAATTCTCATCTACATCTTAAGAAGTCAGCTGAACTTTCAACTGGGACTGGGTGTAAGCAGAGGCAGAAAAGTTGTAACAGACAGGCTATATGAGGATTTTCCCCAACAAATTTATTCATTTATTCAACAAAAAATTTTAAACACTCCCTGTGTACCAGGCATGATTCTAGATGACAGCATTAAAATGGTAAACAAGACATATCACTTCAAGGAGCTTATATTTCAGATGGGGAAACCAACTATATGTATACTATATATATATACACACACACATATATACAAATTAAGTAATCAAGATAGTTTTGAAGTTTTGATACATAATTCAGTGAAGAAAAAAAGAGCAGTATAATGTGATTTTGAGTGAGTTTCCTGAGTAAAACTAATTTTGAAAGGATTTCGGATAAATCCTCACTGAGTTGATGTTTCAGCTGAGACTTAAATGGAAAAAAAAAAATTAGCCTGTCTTATAAGTTGCCAGAAGAGCTTACCAAGGAGAAGGAACAGCAGATGCAAAGGCCTTGATGTTGGAACAAACTTTAGATATTCAAGGAATAGAAAGGATCATGAAGGCCTGGTAAACCATGGTAGAGAATTTGTGTTTTAAGTGTGAAGGAGAGCCACTGGAGCATATAAACAGGGAATCATGATTTGATCTGTGCTTTTAAGGATCACTCTGGATACTCCATGGAGAAGAGATTGTAAGCTCCTCAGAGTGTGTTTAGAGCACATACTGCTACAATGGTGGCTAAGACTAAGGGAGTGGAAGTGGCATGAGAGAGAAATGGGTGTATTTAATACTTTTAGATACAGATATATAGTACTTGTTGATAGATTAAATGTAATGTAGGAAGGAAAATAAAATGAAGAATGATAGGTTTTTGGCATGTGCGACTAAGTGGATGAGTTTGCTATTTCATTTGGTTTTGTGACATTGTGCAAAAAATAAGCTCTTTGAAATCTAAGTAAGTTGAAATCTATGACTTCTTTCCCAGATAGGATGAGGATTGAAAATGTTGGATTTGATATAGTAGAAAAATATGTTGTTATTAGAAAATAGAATTATCAAATTTTCCAGTTTGAGTTACTTAGCATTATATATTCCAAATATTTTCCTAGTTTCTTTTGTAGGCATTTTAGGGATTTCAAAAGCATTTGCCCTACTTTTGTAATAAACTATTTTTAAAATTAAAAAACAGTGCTTAAATACACAAATGTGTCATATACAGAATACTAAAAAATATGGTCCCTTAAATTTTGCCATAAAGTTTCTTTATTCCTGAACAGATGTAAAAAAAAAGTTTTCTTCTAATTCTTTTATATGTATAACTTGAAATTGCAATGTTAGTTACTGAGATGATAGTGTGTAATAACATTCAGATTCTATATATTGATAACATGCAAACAAATAGTACATTAAATAGTTTCTATAATATCACATCTATCTTTCTCTTTTTTTTTTGCCCCTTCAAGCAACAAAATGCATTATTTTTAACCCTATGCAACCATCTTTCTTAACCTTTGGTTTCAAATTTAGAACACTTCTTTTCACTGATTGGCTTTATAGTATGATATTGGTCATAAGTGAATTTAAACTTATAAAGTTATTAATAAAATAGTTATACTCCATTTCATATTTCTTTTTCAAAATGATTTCATACTAAAAAGTTTGGAATCCTTGACCTAAGTCAATGCCCTCTTCCTATGGATGAGAAGACTGATGTTTATTGATGATTTGATTTTCTGAGGCAGTACAGACAGTTGAAAGTGTGGGAACAGAAATCAATTCCCTCTACTTTTTTCAATGCACCACATTTATTTCACACTGTCCATGTAGAATCATCAGTTAAAATGATCATATATGTTCAATCCCTATTTTCATATCAACAAGAATAATATGAGTATATAATTACCAGAGGTCTATCGTAATAATTTCTCTAATGTGTTTAAAGAACAAGCCAGAGATTTTTATTTGATAGAGTATACTGATAGCATCAAACTGAGGATGCCATTTGTTTATTAGGGAGAATTTTATAATTTAGAGTTTTTTTCAAATAATATCAACAGTAAAGTCTAAATTACTTATTGCCTTTAATTCTAGGAATGTCGCATTAAGTGACTAATGAAACGGAAATAACTACTGCCCATGTAACTTCATAAATGCCCTTCATAGACATTTATGTCAGAGCAAAGATGGCAAAATACTTGATAATGACATTATCTCCCCCTCACAACCTTTATTTTAATGCTGTCAATCAAAACTGAGCCAGTTAACATTTCTAGAGAATAATATTTTATCAAATAGATAAGTTATTTGTAATCATGATAATTCTTGGTTGGGGCCTCTGTGATAGGCTGAATAATGTCCCCCCACAAAGATGTCTACATCTAATCCCCAGATGCTGTAAAGATGTTAATTTCCTTGGAAAAAGAGAATTTGCAGTTGTGATTAAGTTAAGGATCTTGAGATGGAAAAGTTATTCTGCATTTTCCAGGTAGATCGAGTGTAATCACAAGAGTGCTGATACATGTGAGGTAGCAGAATCAAAGGCAGAGAAGGGATGTGATGACAGAAGCAAAAGTGGGAATGGCCTGCTTTGAAGAAGACTGGGGCCATGAGCCAAGGAATTCAGGCAGCCTCTAGAAACTGGAAAAATCAAGAAAACAGATTATCTCCCTTGAGTCTGTAGAAAAAGAAAGCCCTGCCAACACCTTGATTTTAGTCCCATAAGACTCATTTATGACTTCTGATCTCTCAAATATATAAAATATAAATTTGTGTTGTTTTAACCCACAAATTTGCTATAACTTGTTATAGCACTTATACCTAATGAATACAAATTCTGGCACCTGCAAGTGTGGTCTTACTGTAATTGATATCTAAAAACATGAAAATGACTTTGGAATCGGACAGTGGGCAGAAGCTTGGAAGAATTTTGAGGCATATGATACGCGGCCTAGGTTGCCTTCAACAGACTGTTAGAAATACGAATGTTAAAGTGTGTGTGGCAAAGGTGCAGAAGAAAATAAAGGACATATTGGAAACTGGAGGAGAGGGGTTTCTTCTTAGGTGGCAGAAATTTAGCTGAATTGTGCAGTTCTGGGGAAAGCCAAATTTATAAGTTATCAATTTGGATATGAGGTAAGGTGATTTCCAAGCAATGTTGAAGGTGTAGCCTTTCCAGACACACACACAAATGTATATTATATATACACACTTTTATAAAACTATATATATAGCTATATATACACAGACAACACACAAATGTGTATTACATATATATACACTTTTATAAAACTATAGATATATAAAACTGTATATCTACACATACACAGTCACACATATACACACATATATATACATATATAATATATAATTTGTTGATATTATCATCTATATGTAGTGGCAGTTCAAACTTCACTTTGATTATGAAGTAGCAAATGCTACAGAAAAGTCTTAAGTATTTTTATACTTAGCAATTAAAAACAGACCTTTATATTGAATCTCTACATGAAAAGGATTACATTAGTTTTATTGCAGTATTATGGTAATATGATTTCTGCCTCTTTTTTCTATATTTATCCAATTGCAGGGAAAAAGTATTAAAATCCAGTTTGGCCTCATTGAAGCACATTTGCAGAGTGTTATAGAGCATTGGTTTATGACTATTGCCCTATTATAGACAAACAAAGTATTCTTTATCCTTTATCAGTGTAGTGACTGAAATTATGAATTCCATTCAGTTTTTAATGAAATGTGGATTACTTCAAAGATTATCTATCTGATTTAATAAATGCATTAGAGTAGAAAGTTAATTGGATCTTTCTTGAATGAATGGTGACCACTATGTGTGATTCATAGGAGGGAAAGATAGAATATGATATTCTTTGAGTTTGTTTTATGTGTTTAAAACTTTTAGGTTAGAAAATCAATTTTTGTGTGATCGGTTTTCTCAAATAAATTATGTAACCCCTATTGATCTTACAAAAATCATGGAGAAATTTTAATTCATTTTAAAATAAAAATATCTTAAATTTTGTAAAAATGGGTTATTAAAAAATGCCATATACTGAAACACATGTGTAGTTTATTGTGTTTTTAGTTTGCAGGCAGAGAAAATGAATTTTACCCCAAACATCAGCATAGTTCTAGATTTGCCACCTCCTGTTTTTGACACAGATCTCAACTGAGCTTCTAATTTTGGAATCTTGTTCCAGTTCTTATATTTCCTATTCTGTATTCAAGAGCTCATTCTGTATTAACTGGTAAAGAGGTTATCATTTCTGCTTGGTTTATGTAGACACTCTATATTCTTCATTGTTTAACAAAATATAGAAATTCAGGTGCTTGCAAATATGATGGTAGAGGTGACAAAGTGATACTCATCACATTTTGTATATCGTTAGTAGTGGCAGGAAGAGCCTTACAGTATGAGTATTACTAACCCTTACGTACAAATACAGATTATCTTTTCGTTAACAATGTTACTCTTTCTGAGAGATGTTCATGTGAGAGATGTTCCATATTTTCAATTCAAACAATCTTGTAATTGCTGGCTGCTGCTGTTGTTCACAGCACTTGGCTTTGCATCTGTGCCTCTTACAATTCCAGTCTTGCCCTTTGTTTGAGGAAACTTCCTGGTTCTTGTATACCTCCTGCTTTCTTGATCTATTTGCTGCTGTTTCCCAGGTGAAAACCCAACTGGGCTATGCATCTGAGGTAGGGATGGTTTCACTGTCCTAGCACATCTTTCCTCTATTCACCCTGATCACCATCATCTTGGTTTTGACTCTTATTTAAAAAAAATAAAATAAATAAAACTGCTTTGTATTATGCAGCTATTATTTTTCTGACAAGTTCAGCCACTGTGGAGACAGTTTGAAGTAAATGTGGCTCATTGTTGGTGGTCTAAGAATGTCTAAAGACTAGAGCAAATAAGAAAATGTTAATAGAGAGAAGGAAAACAGAGGATAAAAATTGAAGTTCCTAAGAAGTATGTAGCTAAAATTTCGCCTTATCTAATTCAGGCATTTTCTCTTGGCTTTCCCAGCACAGTACTTCTTAGCGATGATAACAACAGCAACCACTTTATTAATTTGCTTTTTTTAAATTTAGAATTCACATCATCATGGTAACAACAACCATCCCTTGAATATGTCTTTGTTAGTTGCTTAATTTGCTACACCTAACTCTTCCACCAGGCGCTAAATATTGGGACTATTGGCCATCCATTCAGAAAGTATTATGTGCTTCCTGTCTGTAATGCACTAAATCAGACATTGTGCTCCAAAGAAGAGGGTTGTAGGAGGGAAGGCATCACACCTGTATGCAGTTACTATGCAGAGCAGGCTTGGGATAAAAATAGACATTGGCCACATCTGTGTTAAATCATGAGCTGTGACCCTTCTCATGACAGTTCCCCAGCTCTGCTAAGACACGTTCTTTGGAAGAAGTTGCTTCACTTTTCATTTGGGTAGAATATTTACAGTCCAAGTAATAGATTTCCTATAATTTAGAATTTACTAATACTTCCTTTAAACAAGTATATGATTATCCAAAATGTATATAGGCTTTTTTGATTCCAGTTTTATAAAACAAATCACTAATCCAATGTTGTGTTTTAAATAGAAACTTTGCTGTATGTAATTTCAGTTGGCATTCGTTATATATTTACTTAATGTGGGCATTTCTTTTCAGACTTATTTATGAACATAGACCCTATCTGTATTTCTACGTCTACCTGAGTATAGAAAAATACACTGTTTTTTAAATTGTTATCCTAAAATAGTGGTCTGAAGCTTGCATTTTTGAACTTAAAATAGTGTCTTGGACTTATTTTCAAGTAAGAAAATATAAGTATTCCATAGCATGAGTATATGTTTAATCCTTCCTATACTGATGACCATTTAGTTTATTCAGATTTCTTGGGATTACATGCAATGATGCAATTAACATCCTTGGTTAAGATCTTTACATTCTCTGTTATAGGATAAATTCCTAGAAGCAATATTGTCAGGTCATATAATATGTATACATTTTAAATAATTACAGCCAAATCACCCTCAGAATAATTATACAAATTTACATTCCAAACAATATGTTAGAATACCTATTTCTCCATATCCTTATCACTACTAATTAGTGCCAGTCTTTAAAAGTTTCGCTTATGTGATGGGCAGATATGGTTAACATTTTGTGATGTTTCATCATAACATGATTCAGTTAATGATAACACTGCTTGTTGTAAAATTGTTGCATGAAGAATGAAGAGACAGTTGTAAAATTGTTGCATGAAGAATGAAGAGACAAACGCAGTTAACTGTTCAACTTGTGTGGTGCATTTTGTTGCACTTTGAAAAATGAAAAAAATCAAACATTTAAAGTTTTTTTATTGATGGCTGCTCCTTAAGAAAAGCCTGGAAATACTTTAGTTTGCTTTGGAATGTCTTTAAGTGCATAGTGGTCCTGTCGCATTTCCTGAGCTGCAGTAGATTCTAAATCATCTTGATTTAAGATAGGCTTTTTTGTAATCACTGACAGTCTCTGATTTCAGAATTCTGCAGACATTGTCATTGAGTGGAGCAGTATCTCTAGAAGTTATAAGAACTGTACTTTTTGCTCTTAATAAAAAGTAAAGTGTGTCAAAATAATCAAAGTGGAAGAAAGCATATGTAACAGCCATACAAATAAATTGAGATTCATTAGATAAGCTAGTTGGTAGAGGCAAATGTGAAGAATATTTTTAAATTCACTACTAAGATAATTTTTTTAAAAAATGTTAACTTAAAGTTGCTATTTTTAAAATTTGCATAATGCTTTGAAGAATGACAGTAAGACAAATGTCATCACAATCATAAAAAATGTGTATAAAGTACATTAGTATTTTAAATTTCTCCTAGAAAAAAAAATTGCTGCATCTCTTCCAAGATATATAACCAAGTTAGAAAAAAAAGTTAGATAAATATGCGTATTACCAGTTAAGTTCAGTTTGACTTCTGCTTACCAGATGTTTTGATAGAAGTCTTTTTCAGTGTTCACTATGATGCCTGTTTCTCACATTGCTGTGAAACATCTAAGCTATATATACTGTTTTTTGATAAATAACATATGGTTTTGAAAATCAGTGTTAAAACCACATGAAAATTTTTAAAGTGAAAAATTCAGTTTTACTCTCAATATAATAATTGTTTTAAAAATCTTTAAAAAATAATGTTAAATTTCACCATGATATGTACAGCTGTCTAAGGAGTCTATTACAGGGACAAATAGAAGAATGTTATACATTGCTCAACTCAGGATTACTTCCTTTTTTTTAGTTTTAGAAGAATTCAGTTTTAGATTTAACCAAATAACCAGTAATGTATACATCTCCCTGATCTGTTGTCATGAGCACAAAATTTATTTACTGACATGATGCTAAGAGGTTTTCTGCAGATACTCCAAATCTGACTGGGTTTTGCTCCATTTTTCTTTCACTAATCAAGACTTCAGTGAAATAAATACATAGTAAAATTCTAATAATGCTAGACTTATTTCCCAAATGTCTTGATGTTAAGTGAATAATAAACTCCAGATCTGATTTTGTAAATATTATTTTAAGATATGCATTCTTAAATCTTGATAGGCAGATGTTCTAGGAGGCTCCAAGAGAGCTCAATTGGGTAACTCTCTCAGAGGACTGACTTGCTCCATATTTGCATCATACTTTTGTGTGGTTTCATTCACAGGCACAGTTGCCCATCGTGCAGGATATCATTAAATGACCTAAATTAACTTTTCTGCAGGAAGTGGAGGAATCTCAGGATAGGAGAATCCAGTTTTAAATACCCCTGAGACTTAAATTGATTCAGTCTTAATCTGGGATGACTCAAATGACTTAGTATATAATGTCTCTTGTTTCTCTAAAAGAGAGTCTCTCAATGACAGAGGCCTAAGTCTGGAGATCAAGTATGTAGTCCTGTTGACTGAGAACAGGCAGAAAAATCTGATTAATCCAAAGGAAAAAGGCGAGGGAGGTGGCAGCACAGTGAACAGATTTGCACCCAAGCACAACTAAAAGAATGAGTTAGGGAGGGCGGGGAGCGGCGGCTTGTGGCTGTAATCCCAGTACTTTGGGAGGCCAAGGCAGGCAAATCACCTGAGGTCAGGAGTTCAAGAGCATTCTGGCCAACGTGGTGAAACCCTATCTGTACTAAAGATACAAAAATTAGCTGGGCATGGTGGTGCATGCCAGTAATCCCAGCTACTCCAGAGACTGAGGCAGGAAAATCAATTCAACCCGGGAGGCAGAGGTTGCAGCCGAGATCGCACCATTGCACTCCAGCCTGGGTAACAAGAGCGAAGCTCCATCTTAAAAAAAAAAAAGGAGGGAGGAGACGGAAAGAAATCAGTTCGTTTATTTTCAAAATGATCAAGGATGAATGGTAGGTTCCTTTACAATTTTTGATGTATCTATTTTTTTACCAACTCTTTATTTTCTTTATTTATTTCAGTATTTTAGTTTATTAAGTACTTGCAGTGTTATTAAACATAGACTGAAGAATGGAAATATGAGTAAGATATGTGTATTAATTTTAGGACACTCACATCGTAGTACTTGTCCATGTTCCTTTTTTTGCCTTTTTCCATTGATGAAGGTTATCTTCTCTCTTGCTCATGGCTAATAATTATCACTTTTTCTCTTAACAAATTATTTTATTGTTGTTATCATTTCTTACCTACAAAGTTACTATTCTCTGTACAACTCTGTTGCTAGCAACCATCTTACAATTTGGTTATCCATAAGACCAAATTTTGTCTCTAAAACATCTCCTGGGTGTAGCTGCTCCCATGAAGACAATATAGCTACAATGGAGTATGAATCCATATAAAACTCAGTAGTCTTATTGGGCTCATTCTCTCACAGCCCTGGGAGAAGCCTTGGTTGCCTGTGTCTCTTTCTCATATTTTGAGGCATGCTTATGGAACAGAGGTTTCCCAACCCTATTCAGACCCCAAATATAACAACTGTTTGTAAGACCCTCTGTACTATGAAAAAGAAAAATCCATTCCATTCCATTTACCAACATACGTAATTTCAAAAGATAACCAAAGTTACCTAACTTTAATATTAAAAAGAGCTAAAGGAACTAAAACATATGCTTATTGCCTAAACTGTTGAACACAACCACATTAGAAGACAGAAAGAATACTCTGATGTTTGCCACTATTCTGAGAATCACCAAATGCAACTACTAATTATGCAGACTGTCCTGTAGATCTCAGGATGTCTATCAGCCCTGCCCTTTCCCACTAAATATTATAGAGTCTTAATCTAACTGGGAGACCCAAGTGTCCCTACACATTTCCTAGATGCCTCCAGAAGGCACTATCTGCTATACTGAGAACCATTGCTATAGAACTTTACCTTCAATATCACTTCTTATTTGTAATGTCTGTCCCTGGTGGCTCTGTAGAAGATTTTGCTCTCAATCTTCCATGAGCAAATAGAAACTTGGAATTTTTTTTTCTGTTTCCTAAAATAGAATACAGATATGTCCACACTTGGAAATATGATATATTTTTATGAGTATATCTTCAAGTGGCAGATCATAAGGTGAAATCCCAACTTGCCTTATATTGTATCATTACCATGTTGTCGTTTTGTGTCCAGATGACATTGGCAGTAAGCAGCGAAGGATTCAGTAATGTTTTGATAAAAAGAGCATTAATGTAATTATTTATTTATTTATTTATTTTGAGACAGAGTTTCACTCTTGTCACCCAGGCTGGAGTGCAGTGGCACAATCTCAGCTCACTGCAACCTCTGCCTCCCAGTTTCAAGCGATTCTCCCACCTCAGCCTCCCAAGTAGCTGAGATTACAGGCACTTGCTACAACGCCTGGATAATTTTGTATTTTTTGTAGAGCCGGGATTTCAACATGTTGGCCAGGCTGGTCTTGAACTCCTGACCTCAAGTGATCTGCCCGCCTCGGCCTCTCAAAGGGCTGCCAGGCTTGAGCCACCGTGCCCAGCCAATGTAATTGTTTTTAATCTGCATCATCTTTTGAATAAAAAGACATTTTAAATATCAGAAAATGACCACTGTCTAAATTTTCTTTAACCAGCATAAATGGATGTAAACTAAGTAGTTTGCAAATTTTCATGTCTGTTTCACTTTTATCTTTCTCCTTGGTAATATGTTTTCTGACATTGCTGTGAAACATTTCATATTACTTAAAATGTGTATCTTTAACAGATTTTTCACTTTTCAGTTTAAACATTTCACACAATCCACACGTATTTATTAAGGACTTATATACTTGACATAACACCAATTGATGTTTCAGTCATCAAATCTTGAACACCTACTTCTGATTGTCTAACCCTTCTTTTTCAAATTAACAACAAAACAAACCAAAACAACTGTCTCATACAACTACTCCATTCTCCAAAGAGAAGTTGTAAATTATAAAACTTTAACAGTCTTATTTTTTCTTTGATGGCCTACTTAATAAATCTAAAGGGACTATAGGTTTACAACCTTGGAGTGTTGCTTTTGATTTTTTTCCCCCTGTATCAGTCCCTAAACCAAAACATTTACAGTACTGTGTATATTTAATAATTTTGTACTGACTGCATGAAGATATAAATGTGTGAATGAATACAGCTTGTTAAACATGCAAGTATATTTCTTCAAAGAAGAGTTTACGGATTCTTTTTCCTTAGCAAAGGGAAGTTGTATTAAACATTGTGGTGGTTGAAATGCTGCTAATCAAAAATTGGTCATCGATTTGAATACATCTTATAGCTTTTCTATCATGTTGTTGGTTTATTTCTGAAAACACAAGGGAGAAGTTGATTGGGCTGCCTTAGCTGCCTTTTTCTATGGTGACAGGTGTTTAGACTTTAATCCCTCTAACTGTGCACATAGATGTTTCTGGTGAAAAGAATGTACTGCCCTTTGTATAAAAAACATAATAATGATAATAATGTAAGTTTGAGAACGGTTTAGTCTACACAGTTATTGACAAGAGGTACAGCTTGTACTGGAGGACCAGTCTGGATTCAAGAAGATGGTCCTAAGTGTACCGAAGTATATCTTTTCGTATGAAGATATAAAGAATAGAAATATGAGTGGTATTTGAGGTGTCCGCATCCTCTTTGGCACTCAGAGGACTCTAATCAAACCCAATGTTGTGTACTGAACTATTCCTGACTTGTGAAATTCATCTTTTATCCCCTACTTTAACTTTTTTTTTTTGAGACAAGGTCTCATTCTGTTACCCAGGCTAGAGTGTTATAGCTAACTACAGCTTCCACCTGGGCCCAAGAAATACTCCCCCCTCAGTCTCTCAGGTAGCTGGAACCACAGACACAAGCCATCACACTCAGCTAATTAAACAATTTTATTTTTTGTAGAAACTAGATCTCTCTACGTAGCCCAGGCTGATCTCAAACTCCTGGGCTCAAGCAATCCTCTCACCCTGGCCTCTCAAAGTGCTGGGATCACAGGCATGCACCACTGTGCTCAGCTACCCCAATTTTACCTTTTAAACACAAAAGCTTTCATTAAATGTAAAGCCACCATTTCCTTTGACTTTCAAATCCATGTATCAGTAAAATAAAACAAAAATTTATTTGAATGCAATAATAGCAGACATATGCTGTTCTAAAATCCTCAGAAATCTGGCAGTGGAAACTGTGAAGATAGTTATGATCTCATGAAGTTTGAATATAGTCCTAAACTCTTTGGAATGAGAGATTTGTCAGCTGGATTTTCATGCTCTAAATCTGACTTCAATAACTTTCACTTTCTGCCAAGATGTATCCATTATACCTCAGTATCTCCTGATATTCTCCAATAAAATCCACTGTCAAATTAAAAGCTTAGTTCTGTCGTTTGTGCCAGGCCCCAAGTGCTACCCTTATATTCCAAAATCAGTAGCGCTTTTTCCAAGTTATTACTCAGGGAGTATAACCAACTAGAAAAAAATTTAGAAATACTAGAAGCATGTTCTCCTAGATTTCCTACATCTATCCCTACCAACTTCCCAAAGAGCCCTGTAGTATCTTCACCTACCTTCCTATCAGCTATTCAGACATAAAAACAGCTGCTTTCTTCCTGGGAAGATCACGTAATTTAGAACTGGCTTGGGGTGTACCTCTGGGTTACCAAAAATGATTTTTTAAAAATATCTGTCATTCAAGAAAATAAGATCTGGGGTCAGGTCCAGGCAATATTGTCCTGAGGGTGCTTTTCTTCTTCTCGTGGCTGATATTCCCGCAGTGACATATGATATAATATGCACTAAGCTGATACTGCTTCAGTAACCATGTCTGTGTCTGTGACAGGTGCTACTGACTCCTTTCTTCATGTTATTGATCTAAAATATTTTTTAAAATGTAGAATCTACAAAACCCTGGAGGCCTTTCATCCTTGGAAGCTGGAATTATTGCATCTTTTCATCCTTCTTAAAGAGGGGAATGTTTTCACCCTTACAGTTAAGTTGACAGTTCATATGCGATGTTTACTTGACTTTTTATATCTGGTTACAATAAATGTATAGGCTGTTAACACATAATAAATAATGACTCATATATTTGATTTAAAATTTCCTGGATTATCTATAATCAGAATTTAGAATTTCTCTCCTAGAAGTGTGGCGAGCTGAAGCTATTAGAGCTGTGGCCTTTACAATCCTTTAACGGAATAACCCATCTCCTGTTGCTGATCTGAACCGCATAACTGGCTAAACTAGTGCAGGCAGCATGATTCTTCACACACAACCAGATGCCAGAAAGAAGAAAACCACAAAGGGGCTGAAAAACACAGCATAGAGCCCAGAAGCAAGAGGGTAAGGTGGGGCAGAAACCAACCAGCAGTGATTGGAAGGGAAGATTAAGTCAGGAGGCAGGGCTCAAAGGGCATCTGAAGGTGAGAGGCAGCAGCCCGAGGATGCCTCAGGAGTCTGCGTTGTACAAGAAGCTGGACATTAGAGATAGGTCGCAGGTCAAAATCAGATAGAATTTTGCGATCAGAGCAGACACAGCAAACCAGAAGCACTTGAACTGTTCAAATAGCACCTTCTTTCCACAGCAAGTCCTTGCTGTTGTGACTGCGAATACACTGGTCCACTGAAGCCTGTGACACTTGCAATTTGGGAGCTTATCACAGCCGGAGGACCCTGACACAGGGTGAGGGTGCAGGAAAGACAGGACATGAGATTGAGGATGCTGACTCAGACAGGTCACTGGACCGTTCCAGTGTTTTTCTTACAGGGAAAGAGTGTAGGAGGCAGTGCATCTCTTTGTCTTTGTCACTTAACTTTTGGTGTTCTTTAAACTGTTCTAAATTAGTTCAAGATCTACAAATTGAAGGCTAAAGAAGGGAGGATAAATAAAGCCCAGCCCAAGCAGTTTTGATTGTAGAAACATTTGGAAGTATTTGGGTTGTTAGGGGAAAGGAGCATAGCTGATTTTTTTTAAATTGATTTGGAGTTTGGTTATTTGTCATTTACTCATTAGTTACTTTCCTCCCCAACAATAACAACAAAAGATAATTACCATAGTCTGTTCTTACATGAAACACTGAGAAATTTTATGTAGACATTGAAATTACTTCATCAGTTTCTTCTGTGAATGATTCATTTCACATTTCCCAGTCTTATGTAAATTACTCTGCAGCATTTATATAGCATTAGTGTCATGCAATTTGTATCATTATTGAACATTTATTTTCTTTTCAAACAAAGTGCAAAGTGCCAGAGGATGGGAAGTATATCTTTAGCTGCAGTTTGAAAGAAAATGTACCAAGCTTGGTGTCGGATGACCTGGGTTCTACAAAGCAGTCGTGTACGTTTAGCCAAATCACCTGTTCAAATCTAGGTTGCCCAAACTATAAATGCACTTGAATGAGTGATTTTTCAAGAATGTGGGGCAAAATGAAGTCAGAGCATTCAAGGCTGTGGTATCTTATTTCTGTTTCAGCTACTGTGTCTGTGCTCTCAGTGTTTCATATATTGGGTCCCTACGTATGATTTTATTTTTTAAATTTCTACTGCTAATAAAAGTTTCACAGATGTGATAGTGTCCAGTATTTCTTTCAAATTTGAAGTTTCATTTGATTTAATCATTTTATCTATCATGTCATTTAGTGTAATTTTTGAACCTAGTAAGTGTCTAATAAATATTTGCTGGGGAAAAAAATGAATGCTATGGTTCAATCATGCAATACTCAGATGTTCGTAACCATTTCCATGTGAAAAGTTTAGTATAGGCTGTAGAGAATGACATTTTAGACTTTTGAGGGGAATTATTTTTATGTCAGCTTGAAATTCTTCTTGAACTTGATTTCTGACTTGGGGGAAAAAAAGCAAGCCTGATGTGCACAAGCTTTATACAGAGAATCAACTGTTTTTAAAAGAATAATCCAGCTGCTATCTGATCAGCCAGGTAGGAGTTGTTCTGTGGAAATGAAGAAGCCCTCCATTTTCAGTCAGAGTCACGCATATAAAGGCTTTGATAAGATTAAAATAATCCAAGAATGCAATTTCAAGATGCACAGCTAGAAACAGCAACTAAGAAATATCCATATCTTACAGGACACAGCTAAGGGAAGAGTCAGGTTTTAAGGACCGTCTACAGATAATGTCAGGATGTACAGATAAATATGAGCAACTGCTGATTGAGCTAGAAACACTGCTGGTTAAGTTATAAATCTTATGATTTTTACCCTTCAAAATGCCTCTTTCCTTGCTGCTTTATATTTTTTTAAAGAGCGGAGTATGTTGTCACTTGGAGGTTGTGCTGCTTTCCTGTGACTTTAGTCACCTTTGGTGCCCTGGCCAGATCCCTTTTACCAAGCCTGTAAAATGCCCAGTTTCCGTCAGTGTTAGCTGCTATTGGCTCACAGCCCCCACTTCTCTTCAGAATCACTTGTAGCTGAAAAACATTTACTTTGCCAAACCTTATGTGCCCATCTCCCAGCACTATCAGCTCATATCTGATGACTAACTGACATGGGGAATACAAAAAGCCAGTGCCCTCACTTCATTAGGTCAACTCTGGGGCAATTCATGCTCTAGTGCTCCCCGTGACATCAGGCTGAAGTTAGACTTATGCTAATACCACATTCTCACTTAGCTGCTTTCCCTTTCCTACCCTACTTTCCTCTCTCCTTTTCATCTGACAACACTCCCTTAATAAATCATGTGCATCCAAATCCTTGTCTTAGGCTCTGCTTCTAGGGAACCTAAGCAGTGATATTTTTGAGAGTATAGATTCTTTCTTCTTTTATCTTTCATCCTCAATCTCCAGCACATCTGGATCATGATGCTTTACAAGTATTTTGAAGAGTAAGCAAAGTAAGAAATTTGGCCTTCATTTGGTGTGTTAGTTAGTCCTTGCATTGCTATAAAGTAATATGTGAGGCTGGATTATTATTATTATTATTATTATTATTATTATTATTATTATTATTATTATTTTGAGATGGAATCTCACTCTGTCACCCAGGCTGGAGTGCATTGGCACTACAACCTCTGCTTCTTAGGTTCAAGTGATTTTTCTGCCTCGCCTCCCCAGTAGCTCGGATTACAGGTGCCCGCCACCCTGTCCAGCTAATTTTTGTATTTTTAGTAGTGATCGGGTTTCACCATGTTAGCCAAGCTGGTCTTGAACTCAAATGATCCACCTGCCTCAGCCTCCCAGAGTGCTGGGATTACAGGTGTGAGCCACTGCATGCAGTCAGAGACTGGGTAGTTTATAAAGAGAAGAGGTTTAAATGGTTCATGGTTCTGCAGGCTGTAGAGGAAGCGTAGTGCTGGCATCTGCTTCTGGTGAGGGCCTCAGGGAGCTTACAATCATGGCAGAAGGTGAAGGGGAACCATGTATCACTTGGCAAGAGAGGGAGACAGGAGAGGGAAGGTCCACACTCTTTAAACAACCAGATCTCACAAGAACACTCATTACTGTGAGGATGGCACCAAGGCATTCGTGAGAGAGCCAACCCCCAAAACCAAAAACCTCCCACCAAGTCCCATCTCCAGCATTGGGGAATACATCTCAGCATGAGATTTGGAGGGCACAAACACCCAAACTGTATCAGTTGATCAAGAACTGACCATGGAAGATGGATAGTTGAAGTCACAAGCAGTCCAGCACAATTCTAACCTTACCATGAATCTGAATTCTTAGCTCACTAAAGATTTAGGAACAGAATTGGGGAGTAGAATTATGGTCATGTAAAAATAGAGTCCGTTTAACATCCTAACCTTAAATCAGAAACCATCAAAGCATCATATCAACAAAAAAATTGTTTTCACTTATGAAAAATATGAATATTAACACAATTTTGTTGCACACTTACTCTCTGCCATATGTCTTACACTAGGCATTGAGAAAATACTAAAAATACATAGGATATGTTCCATGCTCTCAAGAAGTTGTGAATTGTGAAAGAACCTGATAGTTGAAGTAATAATTTCATGCAGTGTGCCTAAACATGAAATAGAATTCCATACAAAGTGACATTTAAATAGGTAGAAAAACCAGAGACCATATCCACACTGGTAACAGCATGGGCAGAGGTTTGCAGTTAGACATGAAAGTTAATGCAGTGTTCAAGAATATACTGAGGAGTTAGTAAGAAATTAGGCTAAAATGTATGTTGATACAGATATGAGAAAGGGCTGTAAGACTCAAGATTCACTTTATCTTGAGGGCAGGGTGGCAGCTATCAACAGTGCTAAAGCACTTTCTCTTCCACTTTAAAAATTAAAACAGTGTGGTAACCTTAAAAGGTGTTCTGAAACAATATTCTAAGCAACTGTTATCACTTTTGCTTTTTCCTTTTTTTTATCAGGTGCTTACTTAAACATTTCTCATAATTGCAAAGATTGTGACTTGTAATTATTTGTAGTTACTATTTTACCATGAGCTTTACCCACATTTTTATGTGTTTTAATTTTAAGTGGCTAAATATTATTATAAATAGTGTGTGCAGTATAATTTATATTCGTCATTTTCATTTTCCCTGAAATCTTTGTAGGCTATTAAGAAGAACAATGATAGGATCATATTTAAGTTTTAGAAAAATGACACCTTAAAAGCTGCAGGTAGATTAGGATGAGTAGGACTTGGAGTCAGAAACTTCAATAAGGGAGTGGCTGCAATATAGACTAGGAAAGAGGTGATACCAACCTGTCAGTGTCCTCATCGGTAAAAGAAGATACAGCTGGGCACAGTGGCTTATGCCTGTAATCCCAGCACTCTGGGAGGCCAAGGTGGGCGGATCACTTGAGGCCAGGAGTACGCACCAACTTGGCCAACAGAGTGAAACCCCGTCTCTACTAAAAACAAAAATTAGTCAGGCACAGTGGCACACGCCTGTAGTCCCAGCTACTCGGGTGGCTGAGGTAGGAGAATTGCTTGAACCCAGGAGAAGGTTGCAGTAACCTGAGATGGCTCCACTGCACTCCAGACTCGGTGACAGAGCAAGACTCTGTCTCAAAGGAAAAAAAAAACATACAACAAGCCTCATAAGTGCTTGTGAAAGCTAATTGAAATAATATATTAAAAGAGTTTGGCATTTAGAAAGCTCTGAAACGATCATTCATTTAACAGAGGAAGCTATGAACATTTTTTTTTTAAAGGTCAGTTTGACTTTTAGGCACCTGATTTCCTGAAGGACTCTTTGAACTCTTTGAATGTGGGTACTGTTTTATGCATTTTCATGTGATAACTAAACAGCCTGATTTACATTCTTGCCCAATATACGTATTTCTTCAAATAATGAACTAATGAATTCCCGGGCAATAAATACCTTTTGGTTAAATGGACAAACAGTTCTGTTCAGTGGGAAACATGCTAGTAGAGTCTGCTTTTAAAGGAATTGCTGTATGCAGTATTCTAAGAAATAATGAGGAAGTATTTTTACTTCAAAATACTTTGATCATAATATGATGATAGGTATTTTCTTCTCTTGCCTGTGAAAGTGTGTGTTAGGTATGTACATTATGGGGCCAAACTAGTGATTGTTGCTAATTAGGATATATGTGGCGCATTCTATCAAGAATCCCAGTTTTCTGGGCACTGTGAGCTGTAAGTCAAGTCATAAAAAGGAGTGAATTGTCTTTTTCATATATAGCACTGAAATTGACTGGAGTTAATTATTTAATGCCTACCTCCCCTACTAGACTACAGGCTGTGTCACACACCTCCCTCAGCATCTAGCACAGCAAATGGATTTAGTAATATTTATTGAATAGATTAAGAAATACAGAGTGAATAAAATAGGACACTGGTTGGAGTGTTGGGTCAACCACAATTTTGGTGTGATATATTCTACATATCACAGTGAGAAGGAAAATGATATAAAATGAATAATATCCTCCTTAAAGTACTATACAAAAAGAATACTTCTTATATTTTTTCAAGATGATGTAATCTTGTCAAATATATAATATGTTGCATGCCAGTGCTTTCTTAATCCTTAATAGTAATACCAGTAATTGTATATTAAGTTCCTGCTATGTGTCAAATACTTCTAGGTACTTTAAATGTATATTCAGTAATCTTCAGAACAAGCCTAGAGAGCAGAATTTAGTTATTTCATTGTAAAGATGAGAAAAGTGGGTCTCAAAAAAAGCAGATAACTTGTCCCAGATCACACAGTAGTTTTTCTTGGTACCT
Organism: Homo sapiens; assembly: GCF_000001405.40. Classification (NCBI taxonomy): domain Eukaryota; kingdom Metazoa; phylum Chordata; class Mammalia; order Primates; family Hominidae; genus Homo; species Homo sapiens. The sequence continues at coordinate 375,766 of NT_187556.1, read as the reverse complement.
GGAGTGATTTTCATCCCTCTTTCAAATACAACCCTTTGGCTATTGGGAAGTAGCTATTACAACTGTATTTTTTCTTTAACTTGATGTAAGGGAAAGACCACTTTACACATATACAAATAGGAGAAAGTTTTGCCAGACCTTCTGCAGCTAGTATTTACATGAGTGAGTAGAGAATTGTAAGAGGTTCTGGTAGCAGTAAAAACAAATTACAAACAACGGAACATGAAGAGAAGATGTTGTCTACCAACATCTGTCAAATATGGCAGATGATCTTCTTTGTCTTATTTTGTTCAATACCACTCAATATCATCACTTAGGCCTCTCTCTCTTACTGTTTAGATCTCTTGGGATTCTCTTAATTTTTTAAAGCCTATACCTTGAAAAATTCTGTTTAAAAATACATTGGAAAGCATATAGATTTTAGTAGGCTGAATAATGGCTACTGGAAGATACCAGGTCCTAATCCCAATAAGCTGTAAATGTTATCTTTTAGGGAAAAGCGGTCTTTGCAAATGTGATTAAGTAAAGGATCTTGACAAGGTAGATTATACTGGATTAACAGTGTGGGCCCTAAATCCAGTTACATGTATTCTTATAAGAGCAAAGCAGAGGAAGATTTGACAGAGGAGAAGTCAATGTGACCACAGAGGTAGAGACTGGAGTCATGTAACCCCAAGTCAAGGAATGCCAGCAGCACTGGTAGCTGGAAAAGGCAAGGAATGAGTTCTCTTCTAGAGCCTCAGCAGCGAGGGTAACCCTACTGACACCTTGATTTTGGCCCAGTGATACTGCTTTGGGGCCCTCTAGTTCCCAGAACTGTAAGAGAATAAATATGTGTGGTTTTTAGCCATCAAGTGTGTGGCAGTTTTCTGCAGTGGCCTTGAGAAACTAATACAGACATAGAAAATTATTTTATGACTTTTTCTTTTAGATGCAGTTGTTAAGTCAGCATTTGATCTTATTTGAGCTAGATAGAACCAGGGTTTTCTAATCTACAAACTATTGATTTTCATCTTGATTTAAATGTGTTTACTTATTCTTCCTCTATAAGGTAGGACAATTTTGCAAAAGATGTATAAGAATGTGTGTCTCCTTTCAGGTTCAGCTGAAATAATCTTCATATAACAAAAGTTAGAGAAAACAATCTGTCTGAGCCAGAGACTTCGTTATATGAATTCATACAAACTAATGAAGGAATACAAAACTTGGCCTCACAGGGAGAGAGTGGAGTGTCTTATGCAAATCTTTGTTGTCAGCCACATTCCTACATGCAGAATGCAAAAACCATGTTTCAGTTTGTTGAGGATTTGGAAATAGCTTGAGATAATCTTAATTTAAAAGGACTGGCAAATTCTTTCAGCTTTGTAGAATTTATTCCACATATGTCAAAGACAAACTTGTTGTACTGCAAAATAAACTAGTACTGTGTGATCTTAGTTGAAAAGGTAAATATTACAATTTACATTCTATTCTCTCATATTCATTCTTTTGGTACATGTTAATAAATTGCAAAACTATATTGCTGAAAAATCTAATGATCCTGAAAAATCTAATGATAAATTCTAGCAATTATCAGTGATTACAATATAGGCCTGGTTTGTTGTTGTTGTTGTTTTTGTTTTTGAAAAGGAATCTTGCTCTGTTACTCAGGCTGGAGTGCAGTGCCACGATCTCGGCTCACTGCAACCTCTGCCTCCCAGGAGGTTGCAATTCTCCTGTCTCAGCCTCCCAGGTAGCTGGGATTATAGGTGCCTGCCACCATGCCCAGCTAATTTTTTGTATTTTTAGTAGAGATGGGGTTTCACCATGTTGGCCAGGCTGGTCTTGAACTCCTGACCTCAAGTGATCTGCCTGCCTCAGCCTCTCAAAGTGCTGGGATTACAGGCGTGAGCCACCATGCCTGGCCATAGGTCTCATTTTGTACACTAAGAAAATGTCAAATTACTAATTTTCATACTTAGTGCTAAATTTACATTTATCATAAATGTAAACATGTAATAGAGAACCAGTAATTTTTTATTTTCCTTAAAAATGATCCTGGTAAATAAGAGAATTGATTCATAAGATCATGGTTTGTTGATGCCATAGCAACATAATCTTATATTGAGAACATCATCTGTTACAATGCAAGTAGTTGTGGCCATGTGCCTAGAATAGACTTAGTTATTAAAGTACATTGTGATATGATAGAATAAGATTTGTCCAGATGTTTACAGAGCTCTTACAAGGAATTATTTTAGTCTGTTTCTAAATTATTTTAGTGTGTTCATCTGGGTTGAAATGTTATGTGCTTAAAGGATTGAGTTACTGTGATGACTTGGAATATTTAAGTAGCTTTGAATTGTGCGGGTATGTTAAATGCCTGTTTGGGAAAGAAAAATAATATGAGTGAACAGAGATTAAAATTTGTGAATTATCTGATTGCCCTAGAGATGTCTCTATTTGAGTTTAAAATAAGAGATTGGCCTGGTGTGGTGGCTCATGCCTGTAATCCCAGCACTTTGGGAGGCCAAGGCAGGCAGATTGCTTGAACCCAGGAGTTCAAGACAAACCTGGACAACATGGAGGCACCTCACCTCTACCAAAAAAAAAAAAAAGAAAGAAAGAAAACATTAGCCAGGCATAGTGGCATGTCCCTATAGTCCCAGCTACTCCAGAGGCTAAGCTGGGAGGATCGCTTGAGCCCAGGTGGGTGAGGCTGCACTGAGCCAAGATAGCTCCATTGCACTCTAGCCCTGGAGACAGAGTGAGACCCTGTCTCAAAAAAATAAAATAAAATAAGAGATCGAATAGTTCTGTTTTAAAATAGTCTAGGTGAGAAATGATAGTTTGGTTTTTTTTGTTTTAATCATATTGTTTAAAAGAATACTTCCCAGCAGAGTTTTATTGGGAAACCACACCAAAATAAGGAACATGCTGGGGGCAAATTCAGTGGTGAACATAAATCTGAATGTTAAGAAGACAAAGGAGGCAACACCAGCTCCAGGGCAGAAGGAGAGTTGAGAAAGTTAGGAGGGGCTGACACTACCAATCTAGCATCCAGAGAGGTTTGATGAAGAAAATTTGACTTTAGGGAGTTGTGAATTTAAGATCAGAAGTGATTTATGCGTAGAAAATGATTTCTGTCATTTCACCTGATTCTTGTAACTTCAGCTTGAAGTTTCTAATTTCAAGAAAATTAGAAATCACTCGTCAGCTAAGATTTGGGGAAAACTGTTAATAGTCACATGTGATGTTATTAACAATTTATTGGATAGCTTTATCGATCCTGTTTCTCAAATTATACTTGGTTTTACAGATTTTAGCCTTTGGTTTGACTCTTCTTTTGCCCCATTTTTCTTGGCTGCTCCAGCTCCACTGCTGAGTTCACTACAGGTCAGAGAACTGTTCAGTATTTTTAAAGCAGAAAATGCGGTGAGGATGGGATTTTGTAATGTAAGTTTTTAATCTCCGTATCTGAGCATTTTGGTTCGTGCAGTGATCCCAAGTAGCTGAGATGAGGCAGGCTCCAGTATCTTAACCTACTAAGTATGTGTAAACTTGATAGAGAACACAATTTTCCTTTAAATATCTTAGCTCTCTAGTCTCTCAAATTGTGAAAACATATTGGGGGCAGATTGTGAAAGAAATATGTTCATAAAATATAAATTCAGTGATATCCATGGAAAGAGCAAACTCAGAGTGAGGCAGATGGAAGAGGAATAACTTGGATCATCCAGGTGGGTTAGGTGTTCCAGGAAATACTGAGGACCCCCAGCCAGCTGTTTGATCTGGCAATACTGGAGGACGGTGCCTCAGCGATCCCTTCAAAATCAATGAAGATTTTTCCTTTACTCCGTAAGCTGGGGGTCATTGACAGTAGTTGGACTCATTTGGAGTGAGGTGCATAGAAACTGGCTTTTAGGAATTCAAAACTCTCATGGAATATGTGAACCACTTGGATTCAGTGGATTTGAAAATAATCGAAAAAGTAAATATACTAAAGGTCAAGGAAAAATGAAGTCACTTGCTTAAAGGCTGCTGAGTATTAGATTTTAAGAGAAGAAACGTAAGGGACCAAAAGTTTTCATGGCAAAAAGACAAAACAAGCACCCCTCTGTCCCCCGACCTTCCAGCCCCGCTACCAACACACGCAGTGTTTTATGAAGTGGTCGCAGGAGAATCTGAAGCAGCCATAAAGAAGAAAGGAGTATGAGAGATCCAACTGTGCCACTAACAGGCACTTAATTTCTTCTGAGAACTAATTTATACCAACTACTCTAGCTTTTCAAATAGCAAGCAAAAGCCAATTTGCATTTACATTGTAAAACTCTGTTTTCCAAACAGTGGCGTACAGAGTGTTGGTGGTCAAATCTCTAATGTAAGCGAGGGATTTGGGGATCAAATATTTCCTGAATTGTTACTCTTTGCTAGAGAGTCAAGATAGGCGCTGGTATGTACCCTCCAAGAAGAAATAAATGGAAAACACACACAGGAAACAAACCTTTATAAGCTTTCTTCAACATTATCTCATATAATTCTTAGAATATATATAAAAGAATATTACTACTACATTTTATAGACAAAGAAACTGAGATTCAAGTTATGTAACTTCCCCAACTCTATACATTGGTGAATGGTCACTTCAGAAAGCCTTGCTCCTTCTAAAACTCCAGCCTACCTCTATTAGGCTGTGATTTAAAGTTCAAATGAGAAACACAGCCAACAAGTGCAGAGAAATTCCGAAGTCCCTTGGGGGATTGAGGGCTGGAAAAGGCTTTGTGGAAGAGATGAAACTTTCTTTCTTTTTTTTTGAGACGGAGTCTCGCTCTGATACCCAGGCTGGAGTGCAGTGGCACAATCTCCGCTCACTGCAAGCTCCGCCTCCCGGGTTCACACCATTCTCCTGCCTCAGCCTCCCTCCCGAGTAGCTGGGACTACAGGCGCCCACCACCACGCCCGGCTAATTTTTTGTATTTTTAGTAGAGACAGGGTTTCACCGTGTTAGCCAGGATGGTCTCCATCTCCTGACCTCGTGATCCACCAGCCTCGGCCTCCCAGAGTGCTGGGATTACAGGCGTGAGCCACTGCGCCCGGCTGAAGAGATGAAACTTTCTTATCAAAAGGGTCCAATTTAGACAAGGGAAGATGTTGAGTATAAAAAGGTTGATTATCTAGAATTGGACAATCTATAGCCCACTGAAGTATTTTGGGTGTGTTTGTTAGATACTTTGAGAATTAGAAATTGTGAAATGTAGTTATTAGAAAATTTTAGACAGCCAAGAACCATTTAAAAATAAGGCTCCCATCTTTTCATTCATTCACTCAAGGCCAAAAAATATTTTAGGATTAAAAACCAATCTCAAACTCTAAAATATTTATTAATAATTTAGACTTTATACTAAATTATCTTGGAAAAGCTAGAGCTCAACTAAAATCATTTTTTAAATCTGGTTCATCTGTTTAATATTAAGGCAGTCTCTAATTTAGTAAATAAACACCTCTAAAAATTGTAGTGCAACCTCTATTAACGTGATTTAAACCATGTTGTGTATTCTCCTGAGATATGCCAGATTAAGGAATTATCGAAGCCTTGGTGGAAAATGACCTACTCAAAATGAAAATGGAATTCATAACTAAAAGCATCCCAAAAAACAGCTAGTCTTAACCCTTCATTTCGTAAATAAGCAGAGTGGGAATAGGTTTAAAATGTCGACCATCTTTACTATTTTAGATCACATCACGTTCTTATAATTTGAGCACTAGTAAAGGTTTTATTTGTTTTCTATTTCTTTCTCTAATATTCAAATGTGATTTTGTTCCTGTTTGTGCTTTGAATGGCATGTTTGGATGACTGTCCCAGATCTGGCATTCTGAGATTGTACCACTAAAAATGTCAAGTGCATTTGCCTTTTAATTACATACAGTACCTGGATTTTAATATTTTAGATTTTTCCCTGAAGAAGAGACTTTTCTGGTCCTGTAGTTTGTGGGAGGGAAAAAAATATCACTGACATTATCATGAAGCTTTTTCCCCCAACGTCTCCATATATCCACATTTATCATTTCAGAACAATTTCATTTTGGGTCAGGTTTAGTTGTTCTGTAGCTTACTTTGCTATAAACACTATGTTTAAATATATAATTCCGCACTGTTTGTTTGTACTTCTTTCTCTTATTTCCCATTAATGTTCAGCTCAGCTTGTTTTACTCTTAATAGGCCATTACTACTTGGATGTCACATATGTAATAATCAGTATGTGGAAGGTATAGTTTCTTGTGATTTACACTCCTTTCCTTCCTTTACCTTTGGCATAAATGTGAACCAGCTCATTACTTTCCAGGGTATTTCTTTTTTTACTTCCCCAAATTAAATTTTAATTTCATCCTATTGTTATTCTCTGATTTTTATTATTTCAGGTGGGCAAAAAAGTCTTATTTGTCAATGAAACAACTCCATAACCACTGAACTCCCTTTTGCACCTACTACATAGACAAGGTACTTAAAGCATTTTTGCTTTTGAGATGATACAGTTCCTCAACTTAAAAAAACCCACACCATCTACCTCCGTGTCTTCTTCAGAAAGGTCTTCTCTCAGCTCCAAATCTAACACAGTCACCAAGGCACTCCACCTTGTCCTTCTATTTTAATTCTCAGTATGGAAGTCCTCACTATCAGGTGATCCTTGTTTACTTGTCTATTGTTTACTAGACAACACAGGGATGTAAACTGCACGAGAGTGGAGATATTCTCTGTTTTGTTCAGTGATGATTCTTCAAACCCTAGAAGTGTGCCAGGTACATGCCAGGGACAACAAATAATTCATTTAATTAATGAAAGGAAGGAAACAAAAAAGTAAATGTTTTCTTTGTGTGTTTAAGATGGGGCATGGAACATGTATTTTTTTTTTTTCTTTTTGCTTCTAAGGCTTCCTCTCAGAACCCTCCCAGATTCCATTCATTTGTCTATCCATTTAAGTCTGCTTTTATTTGTCCCCAAAAGAATGTGACTGACTGCCAATTTATGTGTATTTATATCTCCCCAGCTTTTCCTTTCTTTTTGTTAGGTAGTAGTTGAGGTTGACACCTCTATTGTATCCCCCACCTCACCCCCATGTTTTGAAAAGGCAGTGTTAAACATTACTCCTAATATAGGCAGCTTAATCACATTTCTCCCAAGTGAAAGTGCCAGATGGGAGTCAGAAAGCATAGGCTATATTTTTAATTATGTCAGAAGTTAATACTAGAACTATTAAAAAGCCACTTTCCTCTCCTGAGATTGTCTTTCTTTATTTGAAAACTGGAGTTGGACTTTTTTTGTTGAATGATTCTAAGAAATGTTTTAGATTGTCAAGAAATCAGATACAAATTCATCCCCCTGTGGAGGAGCCCTATCTGTGCCTCTTCTGTAATACCAGTAGCCATGGTATGTATTGCAGTATGATGCTAATAAGTACAGTCATTTGAGTACTTACCATATTCTTCTTCTAGTTTATACGCTCTCTAAAGGAAGAACACTTGTTCATCTTTCTGGTTTTTTAGCCTAGTACAATGTTTTGTACCCATCAGATAATTCAACAAATACGTACTAAATGATAAACAATAACAGATTCTTATCTCTGTTTTTTTTAGAAAGTAGACTTCCCTCCATCTAATGCTGCTTCTGTGATGCTATAATATTTATGGTGCAGAAATCTAGATTTAGAAAGAGAACTTTATTCGAATCTGTTTATACATTCCCTAATACTTACTGAGGCTTTATGAAGTACCAGATATTGTCCTTAGCACTTTACATGTTTCAATACATTTAATCTTTGAGTCAATCTAGAAGGTAGACTCAATCTCCATTTTACCAATAAGAAGTGAGGAGCAGTGGTTAACTTACCTAAGGTCAACTTGTGGCAAAGCTGGAATTCAAACTCTGATTAATGGTTTTGTTTTATCAAAAAAAAAAAAAATTAAGGCCACCTGACAAGAATGTTCACTATTAGTGTTTTTCCAGAGATGTTGAAGCTCTTTACCAACTGATGCTATGAAAAGCAGAATTTTTCTCTTAAAGAATGTTTTAGATTTTATAAATTAGTTCAGTTAACCCTAGCATTAATGTATTTGTTTCAAAAAAAGTTTAAAACTTTAAGCAGTATATTATAGTTGATAAATGCTCTTATATAAGTAGCATACCTTGACAAATTATGAGCATTTTTAATATGTTACCTATTCATTGGGCAAATATATATTAAAAGTTTATAATGTATTGGTAACTATGTAAAAATCATTAGCCATAAAGACATGAATGAGATTATATCTTTGCCCTTGATTCGCTCCAGACCTAGTGTGAGTTGTAGACTTGCTGAGAAATATTTGCAATACAATTTTTATTTGGGTTATGGGAAAATGATTAACTGGTATTTAGAGGTGAGAGGGTAGTTAAGGGAAAGGTGTTAGGAACACTAAAGAACATAAAAGCCCATGATCCCACTTCCCATTTTGGAAGCCTGGCAAATTAGGTTCTCAGAGGACCTCTGCAGAACAGTCCTACCCTGGATAGGACACATCTGTGGATACATTGCTGGACTTACAGTGGCTGGTGGAGATATCTCAGGACTCACTATTCTGCCAAATATATATATATATATATATATATATATATACACATATATATTTATTTATATATGTATAAATATTTATATATGTATATATATTTATTTATATATTATATATATAGAGAGAGAGAGAGAGAAGGAGAGAGAGAGAGAGTGAGAGCGAGCTGAAAACAGTGAGCAACAGGCAGAAAGAGAGGTTGGTAATACCTGAAGGGGGATGCTAAAACTATATTGCCCTTGAGACTTTTATCTTCAGACTGGTAATAAGAGTGTTGCCTAGCCTGGGACTCCCATATGGAGCTGGCAGAGGTGGTCTGAGGTCTGAGACACCTCATAGCTACTGGTAGGAGATGTAAATTATCTTTGAGATGAAAGCATGATCAATTTAGGCCTGCAGGGTTCCCACAGGCTAACATAAAGCAATTAACTCACAATCAAAGGTCACCAAGCATTCTTGAAAGTAACTCACTTTCAAGAGTGAGAGTTAGCAGAAACAACAGATGTAAATCCTCAAAAAAACTGCAGGTATTGGGATTGTCAAATACAAATAGCCTTGTACAAAATCTCTAAAGAAATAAAGTGCAAATCATAAAGATTAACAAGATGCTATCAGGAATAACTAAACAAAGATCCGTTTACGAAGAACCAAATGGAACTTGTAGGAAGGGAAAGCATAATTGTTCAAATTTAAAAATAACTCTTTGGATGGACTTAGTAGCAGATTTGGCAAAATGAAGAGATAATTTATTAGCTAGAATTTAAATCTGAAGAAGTTACCCAGAACAAAACATAAAAAAGAGCTAAGATGCTCAAGAAGAAAAGAACTAGGCCTGGGAATATCTCCATAATATATACAATATGTTACAGAACTATAGTAGTTGAAATCATTTACTGTCAGCACAGAATAATATGTTTCCTCTAAGAATAAAATGGAAAATCCAGAAAGTGACTCATGTACTTAACGTAATTTTGATATAGGACAGAAGTGGCTGTGTAGATCATTGGATCAATTCAAAAGTTATGCACAGGTAACTGGATATGTATGTGGGGACGGAGGAGGACCTGAAACAACTTTCTACTATACATCTTGGACTCTTTTAAAACTTTCAAATAAAAAAGAGGATTTTTGAAAAACTCAGCTTTGAAGGAGCTTCTTAAACAATAGGCCCTAACCATAAAAAAAAAGATTGATATATTTGACTTCATTAAAATTAATAACTGTTATTCATACCATAAGTAAAGTAAGAAGAAAAGCAACTGATGGCTTTCAGGGCACATTACCCCAAAATATGGCACCTTGGCATACTGAATATTTTAACCTGAAAAAAGTTGGAGAAAGTGACAAAAACAGGAAGATCTCTCTGACCTTCCCTTGAAGCAGATCATAAGACCCTCATATGAGAAGTGTCCTCCTTATAGCTAGGGGGGAAAATAAAAAGCACCTTTCTTTCCGAAGATAAGGGACACATAGAAGAATCTGAACAAACAGGCCTTGCTAAGTTTTCTGCAGTTTACTATACTTAGCTCATACTCTTCGCCCTATCATAGTCCTTTATAACGTCACCCTTCATCAAACCTGCTATAAAAACACTCGGGTTTAACTGTTGCATTAGTTCTTCATTTCCTTATGAAGTCTACCATGACTTGTAAAACTTATATTAATAAATTTGTATTTTTCTCTTCTTAATCTGTCTTTTGTAATAGGGGTCCTAGCCATGAACTTTTAACATCTTGAAAGGATGGTTTTCATCCCTTATACAGTCTGATAGGAGAAGATATTTGTAATACAAATTTCAGTCAAAGCTATATACTGAGCATTTCAGAGAAAAAAACAGGTAGAGATATTTCAGGTATCTCAAAAGGTCATTTTAGTAGTAATCAAATATGTATTACATTTCATTTTCTACTACTGAAGTGACAAAAATCAAGAAGGCTGATAATACAAAGTGGTAAGATATAATTTAAATGGGGTTGGCATACGCTGCTGGTGGGTATGTAAATTGGTAATAGTTTGGTATTATCTTGTAAAGCTGAATATTTACAATCTTTGTTTTATCAAAATGGGATGGATAAAACTCAGGGACCACAGTTTGCCAACTCCTAAAATAAAGAGTATTTGAGAAATGGTGAAAGGATTTTAATGATAAGAGTATATGAATGAAAGTGTCTCAGAAGATGAGGTTGAAAATGTTGATTGGCACCTGCTTGTGAAAGGCCGTATGTGTCATAACTTTTGCCTTTTCCTCTTGAATGTAAAGCAGTGAAGTCATTTCTTCGCATTTACCTTTTAGAAAACTCATCCAACTAGTAATATGTAGGATAAATCTGAGGTAGCCAACATGGGAAGCAGGAGGACTAGTGAAAAAACAAGATTGGGTCTTGAAGGCAGTCGAAGGTGGGGTGGAGAATTCAGAACCAATTTCAGAGAGAACTAAGCAGATAGAATCAACTGTGTTTAAGAAGTAAGACAGTGCACTAACGCTCTATTTTACCTAATTGAATGAATTTAGTGGGAAGCTTGATGAAAAATTAATATGCACATTAAAACATTTCTTCTTCATTACTATGAAACAAAATAATATTTTACTTTTTTTACCATTATATACATTCCTAAAATATACTTATTTTATTGCTTTCTTAAAAAGTATTTCTGTCACTTCAGAATTTTGTACAGCATTTTGAACTGTGTTTTTAAAACCAAAACAAATTTAGAGACTCTAAGACTAGAAGGAGATGCCTTAAGCAGTGTAAAATTAATTTTCAATATCTGCAGTATTAATCTGTAATTTTATTTCTTAGTTGTTTAAAGTCTTCATAGACTTTTGCACTATTTTCCACATCAGAAATCTTTGGATCACGTCCATATCATTATTAAAGGAGAATAAATTATTTTCCAACTACTGTTAAAGCACGTGGCATTTAGCTGCTCTCTTTTCTCACCAGTAAAATCTCTGGTAGACCCTGTTTTAGTCAGTGATCTAATACTGGGCAAGTTTCATAAGATCACATGCAATGAGGAAGCCAAATTACTTCAAAAGATCATTGAGTTAAATAATACATACTTCAAGACACCCATAAGGTTTAGGTGTCCAGTGTGGCAGCCTGTGTAATAAATAACATGTGCTTTACAAAACCTGTCATTGTATATTTATATAATAGGCAGCTAAGATTTTTTAAAAGCTGTTTTTCAGTAATTTCATTTTTCCTATTCATAGTTTTTCATTTCTATGTAATGGACCCAAAGAACTGACATCTAGATTATCTCTACCTAGAGCAGCAGCGTCTACTACTATTTCTACTATCCCATGTGTTTTAGTTTACAAAAACCTTTCACACCATTATGTTACTTGGTATTCCTAAAAGCTACACAAGATGGGTAATGTTATTAATTTTTTTTTATAGATGAAGGCATTCACTCTAAAAGATTCTCACTTGCTCATTGTCACACAACAGATAAGAGAACAAACTAAGAATCAAAACAGGGTCTTGCTGATCCAATCCCTTGTGCTTTCAGTGACACTGGACTTTTCTTGCACATTGGTTTGGTGATAGGTGGTGACAGATGGTGGAAATGGTTAGCTCTATAAAGGAATGTAACAAAGGGGCTTGAAATTTCCAGAGACAACTCAGAAATGTTTGTTATCAAGTTCATCTTATGTTAATGTCCACAACAGTAAGAGATACGTCTGATCAGAGACATCCTTGTGTTTTTTAAGGAGATAACTGATTTTCTATATGCCAGTGCAACCTAGCTTAGGCAGGCTTAGTGGTGGTCTTTCATTTATTCAACTAATATTTTCTGTTCTGTTGCTCCTTTTTAGGTCCTACTAGAAATTCAATGGTGAGCAAAATAAATATGGTTTTTGCTTTCATGGGCTTTACCTTAACAGCAATGGGAAGCTATTGGAGGGCTCTAATCAGTGAAGTGATATGATACAGTTGAAATCCTAGAAAATACCGTGTGCTACAATGTGGGTTTTGAGGTGGAACAGGCAGACAGTATATTCAGAGATTTAACATAGGTGGCTGCTGTGTGATCTGCCTGAGAGGATACTGATCTGAATGAAGGTAGTAGCAGTGGGGATGGGAAAAGTGATGACAAAGAATATTTAGGAAGTAGTAATTTTGTAACTAATTGTGTGAGAAAGTGACTGTGCATTCCAGTTTGCCCAAGATAATTCCAGTTTTTGTTTTCCTTCAAAAGCATCCCAATTTGGATGATAAATGTTAATCCTAGAGATAAGGAAAGTGGAGGATTCAAGAATGATGCATAGGTTTCTGGCTTGAAGAACTGTATGGATAGTTTTGCCATTTACTGAAAGGGGATACACTAGAAAAAGAACTGGCATGAGATAAGATTATGAGTTCGGGTTGGACATGGTGTGCTTAAGGTGACTGTCATACATTGACGTGAAGACATATTAATCACATGACTCCATGGGTCAGGAATTCGGGTTGCAACTTTTGGTCAGAGATATATCGATTAGAGAGTGATCAGTTATCAGGATGGTAACTAAAGAGATGAAAATGGATAAGATCACCAAGCCAGAAAGTATGGAACACAGTGTCAAGAGGCATAGGTCCCTGAGGAACTCAAAGGGGCACCTATTTTTAAGGGATGAGCAAACAAAAATCTGGAAAGGAGAGACCAGAGTCCTCAGAAAACTAGGAGGTACCCAAGTTCATGGAAGTCCCAGGAAAAGGGTGTTCCAAGAAAGAGGGAGTAGACAGGAATGTCACATGCTATTAAGAGGTCACATAAAATAAGACTAGAAAAGTACACATTGAATTCAGAAACTTGCAAGTCATTAGAAACATTGGTTATGGTGGTTTGGTGTGGATGGGGGACATAAGCCTGCCGGTAGGATTTTAAAGAATGATTGGGAAGTGAGTGGGAACAGTTTCTCAGATCTATAACTGAAAAAGAAAGAAAGCACTAATGAAATGCCGGGAGGATTTGCAGAATTTGAGTGACAATAATGTCTCTGAAGACACCATAAGATTACTTAATACATTGTACTTACAGGCTTCTATCTCTAATGTCCATTATGAAAGTAGAAGAATTAGTTTGCCTAATCACAGCTATTAAGATAGTTTTAATTTTTTAGGTAAATTTGTGTGACTTTAAAGCTATTTCATTTTTAAGTAGTGGGAGCAAGGACACAATTGATCAAGTCACTTTAGCTATTTTTACCCCCCAAAATGCATCCTAGAAATTTGCTCAATAAAAATAAAATTGTGCCTTAGTTTTTTTTCTCGTTGTACAAAGAATTATGCTTCTCTTGGCTTCTGAACACTGGGGATTCCTTATATGCTCTTTGGCAGATAAAAAAAATGGTAAAGATTTATGGCCAAGGAAAGCATTTCTGAAAAAGGTGCTCCACATTGTCTTTGTGTATGTGCAGAAATTATAAACAGAACTCAGGGGCACCACCACTATAATAGCTTTTTGCTCTCTTTGAAGAAAATGGAAAATGCTGACTTAGGGGCTACTGCTTGTATTTCCTTTAATGAATCTTCTAAGCTTGAATGATTTTAAATAGGATATTTATGTTCCTCGGTTATAGCAAGCCAAGTACTTAAAAAAATACATGTGATTAAAATATCCAAACTAATAAATATATACAGACATATTTAGTAAAAACTACTGTTCATAGTAGTAATAGTAATGATAGTAATAAATGCCACAGCTAAAGACTTTGAGGAGAATTCACAGTCAAGGAAAACAACCACCAAATCACATGTATTTGGAGAATTTGATTAGACTTCTATACTTAAGTTTAATAATTATGTTGAAGATTAGTGAACAACTCTTGGCACAAGAATTGTCTTGACAGACAGGCAGCCTTACCCAACTCAAATAAATAACTTAATGGGCTTTTTTTTCTTTATTAACCACTTGGTAAATGTGAATTGAAGTCTAGTTTTTAACAAAGACATATAGATTATGACTTTATTATCTCTGATTTGCATAATAGATTATGAAAGTCTCAATGCTTTGTACTCTTGGTATACCTGCAAGCGTTTTAGTTTCTATCTATGTTAAAAAAATTACTTTCAGATTTGGCTTTTTATTTCTGGAAATATGTTTACATGAATTCATTAACCTATCTATATTACTTGTAAGATCTTAAAAATGTCTTCATCCCCTGAGTTTGAAATTGTTTTACCCATCACCCTCATGTCAGTTCTGTTATTTTATTACTAAACCTAGGTAATAGTATTAAAGCTGCTGTTCTTACTTCATGATGATAGTTTATATTTGCACCTACATACATTATATATATTATATTTGTACCCATATACATTATCTGCTTCTGGTAGGGATTAGCAGCTCTGAAGATTTTTGTAAAATGTAGCATATGCGACTCATAATAAAATATATTTAGAAAATTATACCATAATAGCATGTATTTTATTTAATTAAACTGTTATGAAAAATACTGACCTCATTAAGCAAGAACTGCTCTTCCAGAGAATTTTCAGAAACATTTAATTCTATAACTCAGATATGTCAGAAAATCACTAAGGGATCATTATCATTAGCCCCTGAAAGCCAAGTGTCTCATAGAACCTGAAGAAAGTAGTCTTTGATTAGTGAATAATGATGATTTGTTGCATGGACTAAAGCTTTTTTTCTAGAGATTTCTACATCAAACTTCTGTTTCTCTTCCTATTTGAAGTAGTATCTGTGGCAAACCAATGTAATTTGAGTTACAAGCAATGACTATGTTCCTTTTAGGTTTTTTCATTCAACTTTGTAATATATTCCACCTGTTTTCAATATCTACATATATAGAGATATAGATATATGTATATATTTCTAACGTCGCCCTGGAAAGGAAAAGATCTCTAACATATTTACTACATGTTTTGGTAAATTCAACCATAAAATAATTTGAAAGCCTTAAGATATCTCTGTTCATAATTATGAGGTTAGAAATTCCCTACAGCCGGAATATATGGAAAGTGTCAAGTCAGAAAGGGAATCTCCCTTAGTTTCCCAAAATACACCAGCCAAAGCCTTGCTTTTTCTGCTTGAGAATAATAGTTAGTGAATCTAGTCTATGGAGAAGTTTTTATGCAATTGAAATAAGATAAATTAAGACAGTTATAGTGAATTGTTTTACAAAGTTAACTGTTCTGACGCTTTTATTTGAGCTATGTCTTTCTCACCAGTTTAGCTTTAAATTACCATTTTATATAATGATATTTACATTAGATATATTTATTCTTTCAGATTTCTTACTTTGAGAAATTAATAGTTAACCTCAACAGTCTCCTTTTGGCAGAATCTGTGGCTGTTGGGAAAAGTGGAGCAGATACTTGGATGTATAGAACTATGGGTTGCGGGGAGGGGGATAGAGAAGCCAAGAGGAGAAGGTAAAGAAGAAAGGATCAGAATGTAGACAAATGGTTGATTTTTAAGAGCTGATTAACAGATTGTCCACTGGAAAGGCATGAGGTTAGGTTTAGAGATTTCTTTGCGTATCTGTTCATGTGGACACCATCTCTTGACTCCAAGTGCAAGGTGCTGTGTTGGGTGCTTCAAGGCAATTTCCCAAATGTGTCTAATCCTGAGAATCACCTGGACTCTTGTTACACCAATTTTTAGCAGTAGGAGCCATGGATCTGGAGACATTGAGAAATTTTGTGTTAAAAGACAGAAGATATAGTAGATTTTTTCTTTGCTCTTGAGCAATTTATAAACTATCCTTATCTTTGTAAGCCTCAGTTCCTTTATCGATAAAGTGTAGATAATAATACTTTCCTTGTCAATTTTCAAGGTAAATGAGGTAAAAGGAAAATGTCCTCAGAGAGTTACTGGGGCTTGTAAAAGGGTTAAAGTTGGTAATTTTAATTGATTGTGTGTATGATGAGTAGTCAGATGGTTTTGAGAAAGAAAGGAAGTTAGGGCATACAAAGAAGTTTTTAAAAATAATCATCTTCTCAAAGTTGTTTCCCAACTTTATTATCTGGGTTTTATTTAATAAAAGAATTTGAAATATTCCTTGGTGTGTCTGTTTTTCTTTGCCTATTCTTCTCTTGTGCCAACTCAACTATTCATCTCAAATTATATATATTAAATCATAAACACATGCTTCTAACAGTTATATTAGGCATTTATTTAACCTAACCCCTTCTGTCCCAGACAAGTACCATTAATACTGCCTTAAAGCACCAAGCATACCACCTGGCATTTGAGTCAAGAAGCATTTGCTGAATTGACTGATAAACCTCTAAATCTGACCCCATCTCTTTCCAATGTACTAGTTGCTAGACAACCTTATGTTCGGACTTTCAAGGACACTTGGGGAAAACTAGTTCATCATTCTCTTTGATATTTATTGTGGAGGTTTGTTTTATTTTTTGTGTTAACAAAACCTCTTGTCAGAAAGATTTCCTTACCTCAACCCTAAATCTCGTATTGTATTTTAGCATGCTTCTGTATTTACATTGTGGGATTATTTTTATTAATATACAATAAACAAGTTGTGTTTCTTGGAGGTAATTACTGGGAATAATTTTTTTCTGTGATTATTAGCTTCTTTCAGTAACTGATTTTTTTTTTTATCCATTTAGCAGCAGCAACAGAAGAACCAGAAGTGATCCCAGATCCCGCCAAGCAGACAGACAGAGTGGTGAAAATAGCAGGAATTAGTGCTGGAATTTTGGTGTTCATCCTCCTTCTCCTAGTTGTCATATTAATTGTAAAAAAGAGGTAAGGCCTAATATTGTCCTGTCCCGCTCACTTACCATTTATGTCACTGGTTTTAAAAACCTGTTTTTCTCAAGATCCTTTAAATTAGAACAAACAACAGGAAGAAAATTTTAATTTTAACAATGTTGTCAGCACCTGAGTCTATTGGACATGCTTTCTAATAAATTCTTATTTGGTTATTTGCAGTTTAATTTTGGATATAAACATATGCTTTTTGTTAAGTTGACCTAGAAATTAATATCCGAATTTAAATGTCTCAAATGCAAAGGTACTTGAGATCATTTATCTTATATTTGAAGTGTTATTATTAACAATGGCAAAATATGGATTTATTGTGATACTTGGGCTGTGGTCTAGGAATTATTTTGTGCTCTTTTTCTGTATTTTTCTACTTCTTGGCTACAAATAAGATATGAGAAGAATATAAACATTATTTAGTAAAATTGTACATTAAATATTCATTGACTAAAAATTTTAGCCTTTTAAAATAGAGAGTAAATTGTTTTAATTGAACATTAACTTTTTATACTATATCAACTAATATCACCATCTTCTGACGTTACTTGAAGATACTGAGACCTACTGGAATTTAAACTGAGCTTTGCTCTGGAGACCAAAGTATATTCCTGATGAAAAGCATTTCAAAGTACACAGTTTTTATAATATGAGCTATTGTACATTATATAAAATGCCATAAATCTGTAAGGCATTGTCTTGGAAACTAATATAGCACTCTAATCCTTCCCATCATGTATTTGGGTTAATGCTACAATTTGGAAGGACTTTTAAAAAAAATATTTATAAGCAAAAGTACAGTCCTAAAATAGTTTGGTGTATAGAAGTGGTTGTGATCAGTGAATTCTATTGAAAAATATAATAAGTGATGTTGCTTATATTACATTAAATTATCTAGTTTACTATTATAGTTATTTTATACTTGAAATAAAGCATTAACATTATAGATAAGACTCATACTACATGTTTTAATGATTCCATCAGAGTTTATTTTAATATATTGCCTCTTTACGATTATCCCCTGGAGATATATATGTTGGAGAAGACACATCTGCATTAGAAACATTAGGTATGCATTATAGTGTTTTGTGTTAAATTAGCTACATACGTGCTTTCCCCAAATAGTGCTTTCTCTTGCTGTTGTCTCCCTCTGTGGTTGGAAAATACATCATATGTGAGGCAAAAGTTTTAAGTATTTTAGCAATAAAAATTTGCCAGTAAAGATCAATAAAAATCACCAAATGTAACCTTCAGACCTTATGTCTCTGTTTAGTTTAAATTTGTATTTGGAGACTTAAGTAAACAATTTAGAGAGTAAAGTTAACTAAACATTGCTTCACAATGTTCTGGTCACTTCAGATTGGATGTAAACATGAAAGTGGCTTCTGATTATATCCTCATTCAGCTAGAATTGGGCTAAACTATTCAGTTTTATTTGTTATTTATTTGAAAACATTCATTTGTCTTGATAACTCTCCCTATCCAGGCCTCTGATTTAGCAATAATGAAAAAATTGAAAAATTAACCTCCTAAAGTATGCTAAAACCATCACTAAGCAAGATTTTGGGGGAAGGTAAAATGCTCTGACAGCTCTCTAAAATTGTGTAATATGACAACTTGATTTTCTGGTTCATATATTAAATGGTTAAGTTAATGAGCCTCTCTATTAAAATATTTAACATTTGAGCTTTCATAATTATGCTTTGATTGTCTTTTGATAGAAAGTATGCTAGGGCTTTTGCTTCTGTTCCTCACCATCACCTTTATACCCAGGAAAAGCTGCACTTTTAAAGATAGACCAGGTTTCATTATTTAGATATGTTACCTTCTAATATATAGTATTTATATCTACATTACTTGAATTTCTTACTTACCAAAGCAATTTTGTAATGACTTTTACTCATATGTAGCGTGTCACACATGTACCATGTATGCTTTAATCACAAGTATGTTTATCATACATATAAAAAAGTATAGATATAGCAGCATTGCATTGGATATTATCATCAAGTATAGCTTAAAACTATTAATATAAAATGTTTCCCTTTTAATATATAAATTTATAATAAAAATAATGGAAAAGGAAATTACTTTAGCCTCTTATCTACATTTTAGTGGGAAATTGTTAAGTTTGATTTTATCCCTCACTGGGATGAATACATGTAGATATATTTCTTATGCGGAAAACAGTTCCATGTCTTTTTGGTTGTTTTGCAAAAGAATGGTGTATAATTCAATTGAGTAAAGTTTTACAGCTAAGGATATGTATAAAGTAAGTTTTTAGGCTAAGAAAAGGGATATTGCATCTTTCAAAACGCAATGTCATTTTTTAATTTAATCGCTATTCAATTATTTCCAAATGTATGCCATTTTTTCATTGGTTGTGTATTATATTTTACATGCACAGCATGAACACATTAATAACTCAAACATAAATTTGAAATTATGTTTCAATACAGTAAATGTTTGTGTATGATATCATGTTCACATGCATCTACTGTAGAAGTATCTGTGTATATATAGTATATGGTATATATGTATATTCACATAACATATGTATATACCTATGTACCATTAAGATATAATAACTTGTTTGTAGAAATTTAGGTGTTATTCTGTATATATGATATATTAACATAATAGATCTTTATGTTTTGTATCTAAAGAAAAATAATCTATATAGTACACAAGTTCTATGCACAGCTGTTCCATCTGTCATATTTAGATAATGGATGATATTATGCTTAACTGCATGTTGAAAATACACAATCCATTTAATTTTTCAATATTTTGGCAATAAGAAATACCAGCATGTTATTTTTTCCAAATTATGTATTTTAAATTTTATTTTTATATTGCATATCTGTCTGTTTAATTGCATGGCAAAAAAAACTAACAATGCATGAGCAAATTGAAATGCAAAGCAAAAAAAACATGAATTTTATTTTATTTTATTTTATTTTTTAACGCACATTTTTCTGCTTTATTGAATGTGACAGAGTCACGCTTTTCATTCACCATTGCTTCTCTTTTTCCACTGTCTGTGATTTGCTTGCCAGGAGGAGCTACTATTCTTACTCCTACTACCTGTAAGTAGAAAATGGGTGATGTACAACTTTACGTGTGTTAAGGATGCAGTATCCCTTTTCAAAAACAAAACAGAATGCTTGCAATTTTGGTGACATTTCAAAAAAAAAGTTTTTTCAGACTCTAAAACTATAAACTTTATCTATCACCTATTTTGCCAATCTTTTTAAAAAGGGATATTGTATTTCTGTATGTCCAGCTACTTTTAATTTAGTTATAATTTCCATAAGTAGCTTTAGTCTAGAGCCAAAAACATAATTTATTTACTAAAGTTAAACCTGTACCTTATCTTAGCAATATGGCACTTCACTCATCTGGTAAAGAAGAGATAGTGGTTGTAACTCACAAATCACTATCTTTATGTAGCATTGTCATGTCTGACAAAATGAGCCAAGTGGTGTATTTATGGAACACTCAAAATGCCTTTACAGGATGCAAATTAGTTCAGGTCTGCATGTGATAACATCTTTCTCCGTATTTCTAGGAATCCAAGATGGGTTATAGCTTCAGAACATCTTTGGTCCGGCCATTAAGGCAATCATTGTGCTTTTGTTAAAGAAAAAAAAGTAGAAAAACCATGGTGTTGCAGCAACAAAGAAATAAAAATTCTTTTTAGAGGAAAAAAATGAGTTTATTGTAACTTAAGTAGGACAAATGTTTTCTAAAACTACAGCCAAAAAAACCTTTGTCAACTAGGAACAGATATAGGCATCACATTGCTCCTTTTCTCTTCCAGAGTCTGTAACTCTTCCGAAACTCAAGCATGATATGTTCATTTGGATAAGGATGGAGAAGATGGTCCATTCTATTTCCTGAGTCATTTTTCAGCTTATCACCTTATATGCCAGAGTAGTTTTTCATCCAAATCAAAGGAACATTACAGCAAAGCATTCTTGGACTTTGCTTGACCAGTATTTGATCCGCCAGCTTTCAAGGTTTAAAGATTGAAATTAAGAATGTTTGGGGCACATATCCCACAGCATTTAAATCACTAGATAAATTCAAGCTAGCTTTACAGCAAAACCTTTATAAGAGTCTCCATTCTCCATGACTATAACACAATTCTGCCAACATTTTAAATATTATAAACATTTTGCTTCCTAAAATCTGCTAAACCAAGTAGCTGTACACTAACAGTGCTCCTAACTTATTGTGATGAATCATAATATCCTTGTTAAATTATGTTTGATGAAGCCAGAGATAATCAACTGTGCCATTTCATACAATGATGGAGCACTTTCCCCCTTTATGGCCCACCCATACATCCACCTGCAGAAGTTTGTGCTGTTGGCTGCTTTGATAATGAAAGTCATTTGCACATCTGTCAAACTCAAAGTAGTTGCAAAACGAATTTCTTAACTGTTCTGAAGTGCACATTATGTATGCTAGTTACTCAGGAGGAGACAAAGCATCAAACATACTGGAATCACTAAGTATTTAATTATGAGACTGTCAATAAGCTTAACATTAACCATTGATGTAGCTCTGATGTTAAAATGAGATTCCCTTTTTTGGTGGATAGACAACATTTCTGTGTTCCAGACAACGTAACAGGTTATACTAATATTATTATAGTACATGGGGCTACTGGTAATTTTAATCATAACTACAGATATTATCACAGAGATATGCTTTTAAAGGCTGCTTAACCATACCTAGTGATGCTTATCTGGATTAGAGGGGTTTTTAAAGATAAAAATAGATATAAATTAGAGAAGAGCTTAAAAGAAAACCAGATGTGATCTTTGAGCTAATATTCATTGACATTGTCATAGTTACTATCTGTTTTTGATCAAAACACTTAACACTGATGTCAATTTTTCTTTGTTTTAGAAGAACTTGAATGAAAGCCTACCTCACAGGGTTGTTGTGAGGATTGAGGTATAAAAACCAAGGTGATAATTCATGGCTGGCAGATATTTACAAAGGTCATATTTCCCCATAATTTGTCAACTAATCTAGGTTTGTGAATCTGAAAAGTTAAAGTCCTTCATTGCATGAAAATTTTAACCTGTCATGCATTTGACAAATTCATTACTTATTGTTTTTCTCCAATCATGAACTACATATAAATTATACATATTTTAAAGTAAAGCCTCAGGGTTTAAATTTTTCTTTTCTATTGGCTTTGAACTGCTCATCTTCAAAATTTTAACATTGTTCTGAATCCAAATTTCAGTTTGTGCTATTTTTATTCAATTCAGTCTCTCATATTTTTTGAGAAATGAATTTATTCTTCTTATCCCAGAAACAAAGATTGAAAGTTATTTCCTAAAGCAATTTTTGCTGTTTTAAAATTTACAAATGGCAAAATATTTATTCTATATATTTTGCTGAAATTTGTAACGACTAGTGTTCAACTGCTAGAGTAAATACTGGTGTATATTAACTAGTGTTCAACTGCTAGAGTAAGTAGTGCCACTTTGAAATGTGTCAATTTAAAAAGTGTAAGCAACCAGATACAGCGTAAGAGCTTAGCCTTTAGAACCAGGTCATTCTTCATTGCTTATTAGATAAATAACCTTGGGCCAGTTATTTAACTCCCCTGAGCCTCATTGAACTTATCTATACAATTAGAATCCTTGTGCCTTTTTCAGCAGATTGATCTGAGAATTGAGTTAACAAATGAAAAGTGCCAAGTATATAACAGGCCTAATTCATCTATTCAACAAGTATTTATTGAAGCCTGCTATGTGCCAGACACTGCGTCAAGTGCCAAGGCTATGCAGATCATCCTTCTCTTTGTGGAGCACATAGTGGGGAAAACAATTGAAAGATATTTGCACCTATCAATCAATAACACTCATTACAGGGGAAGAATGTGGTAGTATAGAAAATACCTAGCCTAATTTGAGAAAGGTTGCTTTGGAGTCAGGCATATAAACCCTCCCTGACGAAGTATCTATTACACTGAGACAGAACAGACAGATTTTAGCCAGATATTACAGGCAAAAAAATGTTGCAGGTTGAAGAACAAACATCTTGTATGATGGCCTAGTGGGAAGTTTGGAAAGTGAAAGTCCATAGGCTAAATGTGACCTTATGATGTTTCATGTGGCCCATACACTGTTTCAAAAAATAAAATCACTTGAAGAAAATCAAGAAAATTAACATCAATCAGATTCATGGCTTGTCTTTAAAAAAAAAAAATTAAGCCAGAGAGAAGTTCAACAGTGGGATCAAATGCCCCTAGGCAAGTTGCCCCTAAACTGCTTTCCAGTTCTTCACAGCCATTACCCTTCCTTATGGTATCTTGCCACTGACAGCAGCACTCATTTATATTACCTGTCTGAACCTACATATTCATAAAGGATTTTGACCCTCAAGTCTAGAAAAAGATTAATAGCTCTTTGAATGTATAGCACAAATGTTGCTAATAAATGATGGTGGTGATGGTGTAGTGGTAGTTATGTTGGTGGTGGTAATAGTTCTTGTTACACTTTGTCATTGTTTTCTTATTACTAATACTGTGATTCTGTGATTATCATTATTTATTATTTCTAAAATAGCCATCTGCATCCTCGAATCTTAGCTTATGACTATCTTAAACAACATAGTGTCAGATCTGCTGTGTACATGTGTCGTGTGTGTTGTGTATGTACCGCCCTGAGGCCAAGTACTGTAATTCTCAGAGAAAATATATCCTACACTGGAGCAGTCCTCCAATTGCTAGATTAAGGTTGTAAAGGAAAAGCCTTTATACATAAACTCAATCTTTTAAATGAGCCTTTGTAGTATTTGTAGTACATTTACTCTGGTTTGGATATTAATGAGGATCAGAAAAGAATGGCTTAGCTTATAATCTAGTGAAGGTAATGGTGTTCTTAAAACAACTAAAGATTTCCAAGGCAATATGAATTGCAGCCATAAACTTAGTAACATAATTTGCCTATTACAAGCTTTTAGAGTGCCTTTATTTATACATAAATTTTCTTGTTAGTGTGATTTAAATATTTTATGTGCCTTTAATAGCCCTTTTTCTTGGATGTTTCATGTGTAACATTCACAAGAACTAAAATATATTTTACATCCATGATATGTAAGATAAACATGCCAATATTTGAGTAGTTCATAATTCTAATGCTGTTAATAGCCAATCCCTTAAATCATATGCCTTTCTGCATTTATAAAGCATTGCTGTAGTTAGTTGATAGTATGCCATGTGGTTCTAATTAGAAAACACATTTTTAATATTTGACCATGTGAATATTCCAAGATGATAATTTTCATGTCTTTCCATACCATATTTTAAAACTTTCCTCACTACTTTTCTTACACAGTATATGATTTAATCCCATATATTCATGTGTACTTGAAATTTTCTAGCAGTGGCTTATTCTAAAAGTCTTCAGATTAGCTTCTGATTAATGTTATAAATATATTGCTAAATATGTTAATGCTACACATTGCATTTTTACTTAATAATAGCACAGAGAATGAAGAATGGGACATGTCTTTGTCTGTTTTAATTTGGTGGCTACAGTAAAACAGACTTGAAAAGTTAGTCATGTTATTTCTAAAAGGAACTAAAAGTTGATCAAAAGAATTAATTACCCAGGAGTATCAAAACTTGGCTTTAGCTTGAATATTTATTGAATTACTCTAGTAAGGAGGTATTTATTTTGCTTTTAATAAATATAATTATATTTTATGATATTTAAGAGAACAGGAAATGATGAGAGATTTGGATTGACAGCTTGAATATTGAAATATGCATCTGACAAAATACTTTTATAGCAAGGAGCAAATATAATTGTTTGAATGTCAAACTTAATTCCTGAAATTGTGACCAGTGCTTGGGGTTTCTAAACCATGTTTGTAACATTATCCTCGGGCTCACCTGGACTATTTATTGCTGGTGTTAACTCTCCTGCAAGCCTCAAACACTAAGGATGCCCTTTTGTATTTGCCTTGGCAGCAAACTTGCTAAAAAACGCAAAGATGCCATGGGGAATACCCGGCAGGAGATGACTCACATGGTGAATGCAATGGATCGAAGTTATGCTGATCAGAGCACTCTGCATGCAGAAGATCCTCTTTCCATCACCTTCATGGACCAACATAACTTTAGTCCAAGATGTAAGTTTTTCATTAAAATTTTAATAAATGATGTTACAACTCATTTCACTTTGAATTCTACACGATACCTTTTGAGTAATGAGAGAGAGTAGGAAAGTGAGGGGAGAAGCAGCTAGAAAGAAGAGAAAGAGATGGAGAATATTATGGAATTTACAAGAAGGATTCTCATCAAGATTGATACTGGATTTAGTTTAACTTCAAACTCTATGAATTTTATTACTGTATCACAAGGGATATTCCAAACATATACCACTCAGTCCATAGCACGTGTCATTGCTTTAAGTGGAAATACACGATTGCCTACAAAAAGTTAGTTCATGTCAGAATTTATAATTCTTTTTCCATTTGCATCTTCCTTTGTGTAAGATGAAAGTCTCTTTTGCGATAAGAGGAAACAGTAATTCTTTTTGGGAATTATTGACATAGGTAAAATCATTGCATTAAAGTAGTATATTGTAGACTCCTGGAAAATTGCAATACTAAAAAGTTAACTCAGGGAAACATTAGTCTACATGCTCTTAAGTATCTGGTGTGAAGTCCAAAAGTATACTTGAATTGGGGGTTTTGCAAGGCATAGTGAAATTCATCCATCCATCTGTCTTGAAAATTCCTAATGTTGGTCTATGAAGGCAAGGCTTTTAAAATATTTCCACTGAAGTACCATTTAAAAGCAGATGATTTTAATAATTACCCCAGAATCAATATTACTGTTTATTTTCAAATTTCATATGAATGTTATATTCTGTTCTATAGTGCATCTGTTTAAGTTAATTAAATTTAAGTGAAATTGCCTAACTTTGTTTCTTCAAATCCTCAAGTAAAACTGATGCTTGAGGCAGGCAAATCAGGTATATCTCTTGAGTATACTGGCCTTGTATAACTTGGGCCTTATGGCATTTGGCTCAGATCGCAGAGATATGCTCACCCCGGTTTGGAAAACATGGGTATAAGCAAAGAAACAATATAAGTATTATCTCCTGTACAAACTATGAACATATGTAATAGTAAGATTGAAAACAAAGTATTTGTAGGTTGTATGCTTGTATGTAAAGAGGGAAGTTTTTTTCTGAATTGTTCAGCTTGGAGAAATTTTTCAGTAACTATTGGATCTAAAATGAAGCCCATCATTTTCTATGTATATATGTATACCAAATTAGTAGTTAAGGATGCTATACATGAGTCATTTTGGAATTTAGTTATAATCATGACAGGGCCTTTCAGATCTATTTTATTTTTATTTCACTATAGATAAATGATAGAGAAAAATGTAAAATACTATTACTGTTGAAAGTAAGTTTTGCGGAAAATAAAGATGTATCA
Source organism: Homo sapiens (assembly GCF_000001405.40). Taxonomy (NCBI): domain Eukaryota; kingdom Metazoa; phylum Chordata; class Mammalia; order Primates; family Hominidae; genus Homo; species Homo sapiens. The sequence continues at coordinate 348,961 of NT_187556.1, read as the reverse complement.
TCTCTTTAACTACTTAATTTAATATTTAATCAATTAAGGTTTTGAAAGCATTCATGCCTCCCAAACTTGTCTATCTATTGCCTACCTTAGGGCCTTATTTGAAAGTTTGAATTCAGCAGTGTAACTATAAATATCCACTTATGAACTTAGAGAAAGGATTAAATCTATTTCCCACAGATAACTGAAAAAAATTATTTGGAATGAATATGAGATAATTATTTCTTTAAATACCTTACACTTGATAGATCTAAAATACATGGGTTTTTTTTTCTTTAATTTTTTAATGTCAAGTTTAATCTTCTGGCTTTTTAAATTAAACAGAGTTCTGAACCATAATTATAGATACACCTCTCTTGATGTTTAGATATAACCCAAGCTGAGAGAGAAAATTTTACATTTGCAGAATACAGTAATCTGAGAAAGTTTAATAATTATATTTCTTAAGAAAGCATAAATCTATTTTAAAGAAAAAAGATTTTAAAAAACAATTTTAGAGCAATATATTCCTTCATGAGCTTTGTTTTCCTGCAGTGCCCAATGATCCACTTGTACCGACTGCTGTGTTAGGTGAGGCCCTAAATCTTTATCATCTTTTCATTGCATGGATCACACCTCCTTGCATGGGTTTGCCCACATAGAGATTATTTACAGTGCAGGAGGCAGCTTGATTTTGAAAATAGACAGCCATGGTATTATCAAAGAGAGCAACTGTGTTCAACCCAATATCAGATCTAGTGGATTTCAAATTAGCAAGGCATGCTATTTAATGTATTCTTCAATTCTTGGTTGTTAGATTTGGAGCAAAAGTACATGGCCCTTAATGTCTGACTAATATTAATGTGTCAAAATTAGTAGAATGAAGCCAAATGCATACATCTCAGGGTGCAATGTTGCCTGAATAACTAGTTTATATGTAAAAGTCTACCTAATGGAAAGGGATGTTTCTAAATCCTCCCAATTTATAACCACGAAAGAACAAATTTACAAGTAAATATTAGGATTATGTGCATTTGCTCTAGCTTTTGTCTTTATTAAGAATGTTTTAATGTAGGTAAAGTTGCTAAAATCTTGATGTGGGGTTTGACATTCTACATGAACCTTACCTGATAAGTAATGTTATCTTTCAAGAAATTTAGAACAAGCTACTTGGGTTACCACTGTATAACATCTAAGACAATGCTATTACTAATGACAATTAACGCTTTTACAGATGTAAAATTATATTAATTTTTAAACCTACCTATATATTTAAGAATGGAATGGGTTTCATTTTTCATTTCACTTTGTACCCTGTTCCTTGACTAATTATACACCAATGATTAGTAATCAGCTTGCCTGTATGTTTACAGGTTCCATATCAATTTTACCAGCGTTTCTAGTTAAGCTTTAACCAAAGAAATATGGAAACTATCAAATAAATATATCTTGTAAATTCCCAAATGTCATGTTTGTTATTTATATTTAACATTTCTTGTGAACAAAAAACTTTAACTTATATTTTATGCTTGTATTTTTGTTATACATACAATCAATGTTCAATTGCATTTTTAAAATATTTTGGAACAACACAACTAACTCAGTTATGTAAAATATACCTCTTATTTACTAAAATAAATATTTAAAATTATAATTTTATAATTACTATAAAGGATATATATTCTAAAATAATCTGAAAAGTCAATGTTCTTCATCTCTACTTGCACTCTCCCTTTGATGTCCACCAATAATGGTTAGGAAGTGAACTGGGGATTTGCCCCAGGGAGTGGTCTTATCACACAGGGAGGAGCCATAAATCATGATCACTGGGGATCATTAAGGATACATCAGATGCCTCTGAAAATGTCATCTTCTGCTAAGCACTGTAGAATGCTGTCAGTATAAAGTTAATAAATAAATTTCAATTAAAATATTGAGAACTAATTGGAAAAAAATTAGTTGCCTAAATGTTAAAAGTTTCCTTACAATAATTTTCTACACATATGTAAAGTCCAAGTCTGGGTCCTCCTGTGGATTTACAATATGAACTCATAAAAATACCTTACATCTTTGTTTTCCCATCTATAAAACAGTATAATAATTCCTACCATACCTTTTTCATGGGGTTTTATTATAAAGAGAAAATTAGATGATGTGTATGAGTTTTATAAACTGTAATAATTATCATAGTAATTTTCCCTGTGAAAAAGGATATTCATGTTTAAGGAAAGCTAGATTTAACACAATAGAGTCATAAAGTCTAGTTATATAAACATTCATTACACATTTTATTTAATTTTGAAAGTCAAGCTGGTTTTAAAAATATATTGGCATTCTTTAAAAGCTAAATATCTCATTAATCATATTAGATGTAGAAATGATTTGTTGTATTTTTCATCATTCTTAGGATTGTGGTCTTTAGAGTTTTGCATCCAATCATTTTTGTATTTATAATGCAGTTTCTGAAATCACTTCAAATATTGCTTAATGCTAATACTTACTGATTTAAAAGGGCTTAGAAACTTTTCATACTGATTCGTATTTTTGGTTTTTGTGTTTTACTGCTTCATTGGGTTTAAGTTCCTATAACAGGTAAGTGTATTGCAAAGAACTCTAGAAAACCTTTCAATCAAGGATATATTTCAAGTTATTATTCTTAAATGTATAATAAGGATAATGATTAGTACGTGTACCCTCACTACTAGTCACATTATTAGGTGGTTTAATGAGGTGGAAATGTATTGAGATTAATAATGCATATGTGATTATTTTAAAGACCTTACTGCTCATTGTACTACTGTATTAAAGCTTAATGCAAAACAAAAGGCACTGTCTATTTTATATTGGGACACAATCATCTGTAAGATTTGGAATATGGGTGAATTCTGTGTTTCTCACTGAGCCTTTTTCAATTGTAAATATTCTGCTACTCCAGCAGGTAAAAGTGAGCTCTGGGGCTGCTCCACTGAGCCCTGGCTACCTTCTTCCAGCTTGAGTGATTGCATTTTGCCTCTCTGACGTTATCTGTTCTCTTTACTTCTCATCCTTAACTGTATATTCTGTGGCAGTGCCCAAATCAATTGCTTCTGAATTTAATTTTTCTGGGGAGATGTATTTATTCTTTATGTCGGTCTGTTGATTGTAATATTTTAATAGAAGTAGATCCATTGACTTTGGTCGCATAGTGAGAACAGGAAACTCTCATGAATCATGTTTGTTAGCCAATGTTTTTGTGTAGAGGGGTGGGCAAAATCTGAGTAAAAGACATGAATTCACTTGAGTGGTTAGGTCACAACAGAATCTATCAGGGATTTTTTGATTCAGTGTATTTTTAGGAATGAATGCTACAAAAAGAGCATTCAGCTTAATAAGAGGGAGTAAAGATAAATGCAATCAAGCTAAATTACAGAGGCACACAAATCTGATTGTAGGGTTCTTTTTTTTTTCCCTTCTCCAGGAAGAAAAAATGTTTATCATGGGGACAACAATTCATTTTTTGCTATATCCTATTTGTAGAGTTGGTGATAGAACAGGCAAATGTACTAGCACTTGAAATATGTTTATCTGTTAATTAAATATCATTCTCTACAGTATGCATTATCATTAAAAAAAAAGTTCCCCTAAGAGTGTATTTTCTCTTCTGTTAATGAGTATGACGGTATAATGCTTTTCAAAGTAACACCCCTTAAAACATTTGTTTTTTTTTTTAAGTGGTAAGTTTAAATGTGATAAATATGAGCATGCTTCTCGTTGTAATGTTTAGTACTTCGGTCATTAAAGTACTGTTTATTCTTCATAGGCAAAAATGTTCTTGTTCTTTTCTTCCTTCTTATGACAGAAAAAGAATTTAAAGTTTCTTTTCTTTTTAAGCTAATAACACAATTGGGAAGGGACTTACGCTTAATTGTGAGTGGTCAGGGATTCAGTTGACTTTTTAATTCATTCATTGGAATATTTATTGAGTTACTGTTATGCATCAGGCACTAGGAATAGAAAGAAAAATATTCTGTCTCTGTACTGTGTGTTCAGAATTTAGTGAGGAAAATAGCCAAGTAGATAAATCATTAAAATATAGAGCAAGTGAAATGACATGTAAAAATGAATAAGAGGTCATGGGAACATAAAGAAGGAGCTTTGTAACTCAACCTGGAGGGGCCAGAAAAGACTTCCAGGGGAGGAACCCACATTTTGCTCCAGAAGCGCGCCCTGATTTCTCTCGCAGCGTGGCCAAGAGACTCAAAATACATTTGCAATAAAAACAATAACAGTAATAAGTCAAGGCGGCAGAGGTTGAATATAAATGCACGTGTAGTCTGGCTAGCAGACAGAGTGGCATCAGGGGGTGATCATGTGGAATGCCCATGTTTCCCAGTGCAGAGTGTGTTGTGGTAAAAAGCCCCAGAGAATAGGGCCACGAGAACAAGAAGAGCAGCCCTTTGGGGATGGGTCACCTAGATCGGGTATCTCTGAGGGAGGTTGGGATATGGTTGGGAAGGAGTTTGGTCGACTTAATAGACCATGAAAACACCTCCACTTGACAGCTGGGTCCTCTGGTCCCACTCTATACTGCTATGACTACAGATGCAAGAAAAACAACTCAGCAAAATTTCCCGCTTAAGCTTTTAAAAGGTCTATCAGATGTCTCCCTGCATCTCACAGTGTCTGTTGTCTTGCTGATATACACATAATATACTCTCACCTGAAACCTTGAGTTTTGTCTTTGGGGATACTGTCTAGGCCTATACTGTATGATATTTCTTTCCCAGAATTCCTCTTGTTATCAGAAAGATCTTAAGGTCTTAAAATCTTCATTGCATAGATACATATATTAAACAAGATAACTTTGTCTCTTTTTTAATCTTCTGAAATCTGAAAAATGCCAGATGAGAACCACAGTGCTACAGCAGAGTCCAGTCGCCTTCTAGACGTACCTCGCTACCTCTGTGAGGGGACGGAATCCCCTTACCAGACAGGACAGCTGCATCCAGCCATCAGGGTAGCTGATTTACTGCAGCACATTAATCTCATGAAGACATCAGACAGCTATGGGTTCAAAGAGGAATATGAGGTGAATAAGTTTTGATACTGTATTGAATTTGATTTTTAACTATGATACTCAGTGGAATTTAGCATTTTTTTCCCTCTCTTTAACACAACAAGGAGGGGATTGTTCTATAGGCTCTCTAATCTAGTGTTTATGAGTGTACAACCAAGTGTGTGTACCTGGGAATGGGAAGGGAATGGGGAAAAAAGCACTTCCCAGAGATATATGAGTCTAAATTTATTACAAGAATCTTTAATGTTGGATTCCGTAATTTATTTTACTATGGTATTAAAAAAAAACACTTTGCGTATCTCCCCATGCAAAAATCAAGTAGCAATACACTTTGGGTCCCATTGTTCCATTGCAGATTCTATCATTTGAATGAATCAAGTAGCAGGTACTTCTCTGCCCCTTTTTTTGTTGACCTTATGGTTGAGAAATCAGATGAAGCTTTGTGCTCTAAATATACTACTTGCCACTCTCAGTTTAATTTTATGGATTATTGGTTGAGGGTGGCTGAGAAAAAAAATAGAGCACTGCAAATCTAGTAAACAACACTGAGAAGCCAAAAGAAGGCAGTGGGAAATTCTTCTTCCAACCTTATTTCCCCTTCCTACTCAAACCAAAATACCAGGACTTATCTCACAAAGGCAATGATTTAAAACCAAACATTCCAACAAACATAATATAGCAAAAGGAAAATAGTTCCTTTGCCACCCTTCACTTACTGAGAAATACCAATCTGGGGCATGGAAGGAAGCCAGTCCACTACCCATGAACACATCACAGTATGCACACATTTAAAGTGAAAGAATCCAAGTAATATTTTGCTTTGAAAAGGCCATCCAAAATACATCCAATTTCATGAAGAATCTTTTAAACTCCATATTTTATCTATGGATTACCTGTATACCTTAAATTAGGAGTGTTAATTATCTCTGAATTTTGAAAGTTGATTTTAGATATATGCCAGAAACACTGCCGTGGTAACAAAATAAGTACAAGGAATTAGACTATTCTGCCAGAGCTGGTTCTTTTTGTTCATTTCATGTGTACTCCTGTGTACCTTGCTTCAAAGACCACTGGGCTCTTTGAAGACCCCGTTTCCTGTGTTGAGCAAAGTTTAAGTTCTTTTGCAAAATGAAATTTACACCCGTTTTAAATTGCTGCATATAGTAATTAAACTAGTCAACAAATTCTTCTGTTCCCAGATTCTTGAAGAAGGGGACTCTATTTTAATTTTTATATGGTCCCTTGTTGTGAAGACTCACTCTTTTTCATGATCTTCAAAGAAACTCAGATGCGATGTATTGCACACAATTTAATGAATAATTATGGAGGGAAGCAGGTTTTCTTTCTACTGTTATAAATGCTAAATGATGCACACTTGAAAGATACTCATTAAAAGCTTTTTTGCAGTTTTGATGCATTATCATTCAATACGTTTTGAAAAGAATGATACTTTGCTACTTCTACTTCTCATTATAGTGATCTTAATTTTAAAATACTTTCAAGGTCCATTTTTTTTCTCTAAAGTTATTTTTTTGTCTTTAATTTGACCTGAATCCAATTTAAGATGAACAAGTATGAATCCAACAAAGCGGCTTTGAGGTCTGAGAATGAAACTTGTTTACTACTGTAGGACTGCTTTCCTCTCTGAGAAAGTGGTTTTTACTATTTGGGGCTTCAGAACAGATAAACCTGATTTTTAAAAAGGAATTAAATTCAGTCTGCTTATTCGTTTTGTTTTCCCAGAGCTTTTTTGAAGGACAGTCAGCATCTTGGGATGTAGCTAAAAAAGATCAAAATAGAGCAAAAAACCGATATGGAAACATTATAGCATGTAAGTTCCCATTCAATTCTTGGTGAATGTAAATATTATATGCTTATATGGTTTTAAACTTTAAGAAAAATCCCAGAGAGTGGTGTGTCTGTTTATGAAGTAATCTATTTAATATTAAAACAGCATTTACAATCAGGCTTGAGGGCTCATGCCTGTAATCCCAGCACTTTGGGAGGCCAAGGCAGGTGGATCACCTGAGGTCAGGAGGTTGAGACCAGCCTGGCCAACATGGCAAAACTCTATTTCTACTAAAAATACAAAAATCAGCTGGCTTGGTGGCACGCACCTGTAATCCTGGCTAATCAGGATGCTAAGGAAAGAGAATTGCTTGAACCCAGGAGGTTGAGGTTGCAGTGAGCAGAGACTGCATTACTGCACTCCAGCCTGGGCGACAAAGCGAGACTCTGTCTCAAAAAACAACAACAACAAACAAAAACAACATTGGCTATTAGCAGTGATTCTGAAATTGTCATCATCCTCATTAATTAAATTGACTCAGCCACTTCACCCTGTGGAGATAACTTGCTGTTTGATTTCATGTTTGTACATAAATGCATGGGGTATTACTGAACAGCTGAGACTATCAGGATAATGAAAAAGTAAGATCTTTTCAGTTATAAATTGTTTTAACACTTCCATCAAACATATTCAAGATTGGGGTGTTATTCTTTCCACGTGCCTTTAATTCTTACTTGGAGCCACTGTCTAAACTCCAGTTGTTCGATATTATTTATCGTTAGGGACTTCCTCCTGAGTAAGTCCTCAAGATATACACGGGATAATAAAGTCATTATCAGACAAAACCACAGGATCAGTAAAGAAAGTAGCAGATAGTTTAACTTGTAACTAGCTGCTGATTTACCTAGACCACTCTGCTCTGAATTTAAATTATTTTAAAGTATCTTATGAATAGCTCAAAATCTAACCTTGATTCTCAGGGAGTAAGAAACTGAGAGCGGGAATTCAAAATTCACTTTTTAATTCTGTGGCTCATTTGCTGTAAAGTGCAGAAGAAAAGGATCCAACCCGTTTAAAGTCATGACTAAAAAGCAAAATTAGAAGTTAAGTCTAGTTCAGTTATGTAGACAATTCTATGACTCAAATGATTACTTACCAGACAATTTCATGTCTCCTAAACACTAACTATGAAGGTTCAAGTCAGTGAAGCTTAAGTCACACAATATTATAAGTGTAATAGCAAGGTTCACTAACATTCTTATATTTCTTCAAAGGACTGATTTGGTAGTAGTATACTATGGATAGACTATGGGCAACCACTGAATTCTTTAGTCTCTACCAATGACATTGTCTCAGAACAGGGGGAAAATTTAACAGCTTATATTTATTATTTTAAAATTTTAGATGATCACTCCAGAGTGATTTTGCAACCCGTAGAGGATGATCCTTCCTCAGATTATATTAATGCCAACTATATTGATGTAAGTATTTTTATAGTTAAGTATGTCTACTTTATTGGCTTATATATATGAACCTTTTTGCTTATTACCTATAAAGTGATTGCTAGCTTTTTAAAATATAAAAGTACAAACTGTACACTTTTCCTTGTTCTGCGTCCTAGTACTTACTGACATTGTTGTGCTTTCTTTCACACCTGACTTTGGTTTGGGCTGTAGATTTGGCTGTACAGGGATGTAAGTACCACTATATGTAAATAACAGCACCCTATTATAAATACAAACATTCTTAATTACAGTTATTACTAACGCTCTGTTACTACTAGTTATTTCTGCATGCTTCACCTAATTAGCTTCATACAATATATCTCTGTTCGTTTTTTTGTAATTCTTTCACATGCGTAAAGATCTATTTTACCACCTTCCCTTTTCTTGTGTAGAAAAACAGGACCATTTTTAGCTTTGACAGTTTATTATGTACTCGAGTTTTATTTGTTGATGATTTCTGTTTCTGGCTTTTATTCTTACCCTTCCCTAAACATATGTGAGAAGCTGGATAGTATGATGTGTATTAGTGTTACTGAAATTTTACTTTTTACATTTGACTTCTGACGTTAAAATGAGTAGGGAGACTATTTTGTGATGTGTTGTATTGGCTTTTAAAGTAATAAAATTACTCAGGCAAAATAATTACTAAATTTCAATTGTAAAATACACATATCACACATATATATCGAATCACAGAAATGAAAAAGGTTGCTTTGATCATATATTTCACTGTTAAATTTTGATTACATACATATCTACATGGAAATTCTTTATTTAAAGGAAGTAATTATCAAACAAAATATAGAATATTCTTAAAGGGCAATATATTACATTACCTATAAGGAAGACCTGGTTCATAATCACCCTGGAGATCTTGGGAATGTTACTTCTCTCTCTGTACCTCAGTTTCCTTATCTTTGCAGTGGGGATAATAATAACAGTACTAACCTCATCACTTTGTTGTGAGAATTCAATGAAGTAATGCATGTTGAGCATTTTGCCCAATGCCTAGCATATATTTAGCACTCTTTAAACTTCAACTATTTTTTTTACAATTAAAATCTAGGTGTGCTATAATTAAATTGATTCACAATATGTATAATTATAAGACAAAAGGTGGAGGTATTAAGAATGGTAGCATATGTATACTTCTATAGACCTAAAAGGTATGAAACCTAGGACCCAACATTTTATAATTTCCATAAATAGGAAATAATTTTCATTACATTTATTAGGTTCACATTTTAGAGTTATGAATTGTCATTATGTATTTAGTTGAACTAATATATTTTATAAAGCATAGTATATGAGTATATGAGTTCAATTTCTGATCATAATCTTACTCTTATTCATTATATAAATTTATCAAACATCATTATGTAAAACTAAGCTAATGGTCTAATTTTTAGAATAAAAAAATCAACAGTTCTATGACAAATTTGTAATTGTTCTTACCTATTTAGTTTAACCTGGGTTTTCTGCCAGGACTTGTACACTGGAGCCTTGTTATAAAATTATTTCATGGTTCATATGGTAGGACTGTATTTTAAATAAGACTTGTTATCTAGTCTTTCTGTTAAGACCCCAGTGTATTTTGGTCTATTTCTATACAATTTCATAATTTTCCCTCTCCCATTAGTTCATTATATGTAAACGATATGAGTATATACTTCTGCAATTGGTATTTTTTTTAAGAAGTGGAAATGAAATACTTATAAAGCTTGGAAAAATTTTTCCATAAAACATTGTGCTATTTTCCATAAAACATTGTGGTATATTAAAAATTTGAAATCTTCCAAATTTGCAATAACGTAATACTCATGCTATTAAATTTTAGGTTGGAGATCTCAGTTCACATGTATTTATATGTGTATTGAGTTGCCCACACCAGTATGTGGACAAATTGTACCACAGACTTTTACTAAGGCTCATTGGTAAATATGCAACAAATTCAGAACTTAGGATCATATCATCAACATTTTTACAACTTATGCTTTGTTGTTATTCAAACCAATTGAAAGCAACTAAAAATCTATTCCTCCTCAACAGAACTTTTAGCACACTGAAAAAAAAAATACTAAATTTTTGCTCAAGATAAGATGCATTTTTAAAAATTCTTCTTTCCCTATATATATGTGTGTATCTATAATTATGTGTGTGTAAATTAACATTGTGAGCACGCACAAAATAGTTTTTGCATATCCCTGAATGTGTTGTAGAACAGGAATATTCTCTAAAAATCTCAGCAGGACTTTGATTGGATGCACACATGCATTGTCCAGCTCTAACATTGGAATGTTCTGTTATTTTTTTATGGTTCTAATATGTCCTCGTCCATTTGTAATGCAGTGTGTTGTACTTTTGGATGATAAAATGAGAATTAATATTTTTAAACACTATTTTACCAGGAATGAATGACTAAACATTTACATGAAGGCATAAACATTTTAGTGAAACCAAACAAAATCTATGAGGTTATTCCATGGCAAACAAAAATCAATTATACAATATATATTCTAATCAGAGCCTTTAAAATATTTAATTTTTGTTTTATGTTTACCTTTCAGATAACATAGGTTTGAGAAGTGAACTATGTGTTCACTACTCATTTCTGGACTTTTTATTATAACTTAATCTTAACAGGTGGTTGTCTTCATCTTTTTATGCCTTCATTCATTTATTTCTGATATTGATGTAAAATGATAACTAATTTGTTCTCTTATTTTAGGGCTACCAGAGACCAAGTCATTACATTGCAACCCAAGGTAAAACTTTGCCTTGTTAAATGTTATAGAAAAAACAAACTTGCTTATTCATCTATGTGGTGGTTTTTATTATTTTTTAAATTTTATCTTAGTAACAAAAAAATCAGCCCTTCTGATTAACACTGCTCCTTACTCATTTGTATAGTACAAATTTATTGTGTGTGTAAAGCTTATATAAATTTAAGCTTGATTTACTTTTAATTAAAAGTGAAAGAAAAGCTGGTAGTGGTTATTATGATTTGATCCTTGTTACACAGATAGGTCAGAGCACTAGTCAATAGTGCCAGTCAGAGGAATTACTCATTTTTGAGGAAAGGAAAAAGAAGTCTCATATAAGAGGCCTGTCTTCTTGCAGCAAGTTTGTTAGTAGTACCCAAGACCAATATTGTTATAATGAGCTGTTATACTGAGCAATTTTTTGACGAGTCAAGACTGAGACAAAACAAAGAGATGGAATTTAGTCAAGTTAATTCTTCATGGAATATAATAAGACAGTAGAGAGATCTTGTTATAGTGGTACACTGGGGAGTAAAAGTATCCAAATAACAACAACAAAAAAAGCATCTGTAGTTATCTCTCTAAATTGACTACTGGCCCTCAGAAGAGAAACCTGTACATCTTTTTTATATAAAAGGAAAGTAAAACAAAAGCTAGGTTTACTCTTTTAACAGGGGTCATTTTTCTGTGTTTTCACATATCTTTGGAGTAATTGAGTTCAGTTGTGTACTCTTTAAAGTTAGAAAGATCGACCATAGTGGTGAACAATATTCAGTTTTATGGTATTCGGTAGAGAACAGCCCAGCACATGCTTTTGCAGTTTGGAGATATTATGATAAGATTAGGATATGTCCTTACGTGTAAGGATATGTTTTTATTGATCCCTAAACATGCACTATTTATAAATAGTGGGCACTTATTTAATTGGTAATATATGCTGTCTGGTTGATGGTGGTATAAGAGTTCTATTTTTTACACATATTTGAAGATGCATTAAAGTGACTTAGTGACAAATATAAATACCCAAGAAACTAGTGATAGTTTCTTCTAAATTGGGAAGTGTAGAGGGCAAATTGAAAAAAAAAAAAAAAAAACTTGTATATGCCTGTGTTTTTGCCTATTGTGGGAATTTAGATATGAACTGAATTTAAGTATTTTCAGTGACATTTTGTGTTAGACCTTTTTTGGAATTACTTAGTTTACTCTGCTTCTTATCTTAGCTAAACTTCTTACTAACTACAAAATTCCTTTGATAACATAATATTCAAATTAATTTCTTTGTAGGTCCCGTTCATGAAACAGTGTATGATTTCTGGAGGATGATTTGGCAAGAACAATCTGCTTGCATTGTGATGGTTACAAATTTAGTTGAGGTTGGCCGGGTAAGAGGAAGAAAAAGAATTTTTTTGTCATAAAAATGAACATAGTTGAGAAGCAACATGTAAGACACTCAAAATAGAATATCATCCAATTGTTTAAAAAAAATTATAGGCACAACATTTTAGTTGAGTACTTCTAAGTAGACCTTGACTGGCTGAAAAATTATTTGATTTCTCATTGAGTAATAAAATAAGCTTTAATTTTGTACTGGAATCTAACTGCATTATCAGGCTTGTATATTTTTTGTGAGACTATATAAACTCTGTTTATTGTATAATAGATTTTTTTCTCATTTATAGATTTTTAAACTGAGTTTTAATTGTGACAAGGAGTTATTGCTGGAATTAAATCACCTTGGCTAATTAGTATTATATATTCAGGTCTGTCTATATATTCTTTTTGTCACTTAGGTTAAATGCTATAAATATTGGCCTGATGATACTGAAGTTTATGGTGACTTCAAAGTAACGTGTGTAGAAATGGAACCACTTGCTGAATATGTAGTTAGGACATTCACCCTGGAAAGGGTAAGTACTCTAAAATTCTATTTTAAAAAGTGATATCAAAACTGCTTTTTCTCTTAAAATCTTTGCCAAGTTCTGTTTTGATGATGCTATAAAATCCATTCATTCATGTATTCATTCCACAAATGTTTATTTGAGAGTTTACTATGTGCCAGACATGTTTCTAAACCTTGGGACACATGTTAAAATCGCCTCGTGTGGATCTTAGAGCCGATTGAATTAAGACAGCAATAAAAATAAATAAATCAACTAATATATCATACATCATGACAAGTGATATAGAGAAAAATAATGTTGGGGAAGGAAGTAGGGAATATTATTTAGGCAGGGTAAGAAATGGTTTACAATTCTGAAAGGATGATCAAAGAAAAACTCATTGTTGAGAAAGTAATATGAGTAGAGACCTGAAATAAGTGAGGGAGTGACGGGTTATGTCCAGGGCAATAATGTTTCTGACAGAGGGGAGAGTCATTTCAGAAGCCTAGAGGCATGTGTAAAGCTGTTAGAATGCCAGACAGTCACCAGGCCAAGATGTGCAGATATCCATAAGTGAAGGGGAAAGAAATACAAAATGAAGGCAGAGAAATCACAAAATTGGATAAGTGGTGCCTTGTAGGCCATGATGATTTTAGTTCATACTAAAATTGAGTTAGGCTGCCATTGTAGGGTTTGTGAGCTCAGGGATAACATGGTCTGAATTTTATTTCTAAAAGGATCACTCCAAGTGTTACATTGCAAAGAATAACGTAAGGTGGCTGGTGTAGTAGACTAAAGTGAAATATAGTAACAGTGAAATACATTTTGTGGTAAAGCTTGGTAGATTTGACCACACAAAATTGTGAAATTACCTGTGGCACAAAAAAATATCAAAGGTACATACAGACAGAAGAACCTTGCGATTGTTTATTAATGTCCTTAATTTATAATGTTAATACCAGTAGAAGAAAAAAAAAAAAACTAGAATCTCTGAAGAAACACAATTGTTAACAAGCCTATTAAAAATGTTTAACCTAGTGTACTTATATACCATTTTGTCCTTCCAAATCAGCAAGAACTTTAAAAAAGAATAATCCTCATTGATTGTTAGAGTATGTTGAAACATATTTTTATACATTACTGATCATAGTTAAATCGCTACAAACCTTCTTTAAATCAATAAAACAGTATATCTCCAGAGCTTTAAAATGTTTATGTCCTTTGAGAAGTTAACTTTCATGAATCTCTCCTAAGGAATTTATTTAAAATACAATGACTTCATTTATAGTATTAAAAACTTATAGATAACCATAAATGCCCAACAATAGAGAAATAATTGCATAGTATTTTATAAAAATACTTGTGAGTTATCCTACCAACATGAAAAAATTAGGCAAAATATTAAGTTGAAATAGCATTATACAGAACAACATAATCATGATTATTGTAACTGTAAAATATGTATGAAAATTTCTTAGACAAATCAAGTAGAATAAAATAAGCAATTGATATGGGAGATTTCAGAAAGAACCATTAAGCTTGATTTAATGAATAACTAGCTCATATTATTAAAAAAGAAATGTGGAATATGCAGTCTCTTAAGTTCATACAAGTCTTGTAAAAATCAATGATGAACTTAGTAATAAGGAAAACCTGAATACATAACAAAAAGTTGAGATATTGCCAAAATCCAATAGAAAGCAATGATGACAAACTGCTGACCAGTGACCCCAGAAATTAGCCTATTAGAAGTCACCAAATCCTCTTCTGAATAATCCTTGAATGATTTCCTCAAAACTAAAATTATATTATATAGATCAATAGTTTTACATCAAAATTTACCTCATTATTCTGTAAGAAAAATTTATACTCATAAGTGATTTCTGTTTTGAAATGTGCTCTGAAATCATGTGAAAAATTATAACATTGGAAAATCAGAAAAAGTAGAATAGAACAAAGGAAAAATTAAATATAAAAAAGAAACAAATGAGAAAAAAGAAAAAGCTTGTTTATTGAAAAGATCAATAAAGTAATTAAACCACTATTAATTCTAAATGAGGTACAATGAAAATATACAATATTAGAAAACACAGAGGGACATAGCCATTATACTTGCTATTAGAAAAGCTATGGAAAATATTATGTATAAACTTAAAAATATAACTTTTAGTCTAGGACACGGATTTTCTGACAAATGCTGATTCTCAAAAATTAGGTCACAAAGATTTAGAAGCATGAATAGATGGTAGAAGAAAATAGGATGATTGTTATTATCATTAAAATTGCACTATGGTTTTAAAGTTAAAGTTCCTTTATACTTTAAGGAATAGCTAATATCTATGTTTTAAAAGTTAGCATAATGTACTTGGAAGGCTGAGGCAAGAGAATCATCCGAGTTGGGAAAGCAGAGGTTGCAGTGAGCCAAGATGGCGCCACTGCACTCCAGCCTGGGCGACAGAGGGAGACACTGTCTCAAAAAAAAAAAAAAAAAAAAAGGTTAGCATAATGATGATAACAGAATCAGATAAAGATAGCATTCTCTGGAGCTCTCATTCCCTCTTTCATGATGTCTTTCTTCTCTCTCTTCCTCTCTTCCCCCTCTTCCTCTCTTCCCCATGCACACACATATTGCAGACCAATTTCATTCAAGAACATGAAAAAATTCAAAATAAGATATTGAAAATTTGGATCTAGTAGTGAATTAAGAAAATATCACTACATGACCTATTATTTTTTCCCTAAGAATGCAAGAATATTTCAACTGTAGTGGGAAATCTTAACAGGATATTTCATTATGTCAGTACATTAAAGTACCAAAACTGTATGACTTTAATAGATTAATGCATTTAATTTTATTTTCAAAATATTTATAGTAATACTCTAATTAGGGAAATTAAGAGGCATCCTAAACATGATAAAGGTGATTCAACAATACCTAGTAGCAGCCATGTTAAGGAATGAAGAACTAACGACTATTCATTTATCATAAAAAACTAGTATAAAGATTATATTACTGCTTCTACAATCATGAATGTTATGTGGATAATCAGTGTCACTAATATTAAACATTTTTGGAAGTTTTAGCAAATGAAATAAGGCAGCAAGAGGAATAAACTGTGTAACTACTAGAAAAGACAAATTATTTTAAGATGAAAGGATTTATACCAAGAAAAGTATGGATAATATTTTTAAATGGGATGTATAAACATTTATTTAAATGACCAAATCTGCATAAATATTCATGAGTTATAGCTTGTCTTTATATTAGTGATAAACAGAAGTAAGAAAATATTACTAAATAATCTTTAAAAATACAAAGTGCCAAAATATCTCAGAATATATTTAATAAGAACGATATAGTTCCTGATTTAATAAAAACACAAAAGTGTACTTACGGATACGCATAATATGTGAATGAGTGGAGACATGCACCATGTTCCAGAATATGGGAGTACTTGATATTAATATCACTGTATGGATTTAATACAATCCTATTTGGAAAATCATTGGATTTTTTTTTCTTGTTATTTAGAACAAGAAAATGGGGGGGGTTGTTTTTTTAACCACATATTTGAAAATCATTCAGAAAAATTAAAAAAAAAATCAGGGAATAGGTGCTGACATATGAAAATGTACTAAAAAGAGCAAACCCTATACATGTAATAGAAAGATAAAGGGAGCAAGGCCTATTAAGCAACTCCAATAAAAGAATTAATATAGAAGGAGTAAAGTATTACCTAAAATCAGGCCATGAAACAATTTTTGACCTTCCTCACTAGAGTTGAAAAGTAGCAAAAGGTGATTTTCCATTGGGGTGATTCCATGGTGATGCTTATCATTGTGATTGTTACAGTTATTTATTGATGATCCCTGCTTTGTGTAGGGTATTGTGCTAGGAATTGGAATTAAGAAAACCTTTAAGAAATGATCACTAACTTCCAAGGTTTTGGTGGTATTGGTTTGTATAAGATTGAATCTAAAGATAAACTGTTTTTCTCAGTTTTGTTTATTTCATGTAATGTGTCTACCTTTTCTGATTGAACAAGTGAGATTGATAGTTCACAGATAGTTCACAGTAGAATTTGAATTATATAGATTATAGTGGGATTTTTTTTCCTTTTGCTACAAATGTGAGTTCTTAAAAATAAATTCGGCAATATTTCATCTATACCTTCCAAGCTGTGCTACCTCAGTCTACAGACTTCTTCTAAAAAAAGGAAGGAAAAAGCTTTGAAATGTGCATTTACAGGGTTCTCTTAAATTAACCCAATAGGAGAGCAGCACAACAGCAGATGCTTCACTTCTTTCATTTTGTATTTTTGTTACTATAAATAATACTGCGCTGAATTATTTCACAGAGCTAAGAAAAATAGTTTGCCCAAAGAACAGTTTAGCTGCCTGTATATTTTCACAAGCCAATCTAGAGCAGCACTGTCCTGGAAAATCCCTACATGCTATGCTTCAAAACCATTTTCAACATGGATAAGCAAGGCATTAAAATCTCTTTGTGAGGTGAGAAGCTGGAAAGTTGCTTTTATACACCACTTGAGAACTCAATGCATTGGGTCAATGGGGCAGCATTTTAGCTTTCCCATTTCCTTCTTTTCCCCTAATAATTTAATGTGTTGTCACTCCCAGCAAGAAACAAGCTGTCAAAGTAAATAAAATTTACCCAGACTTTTAGAACTGAGCAAGACTTATAATTTTCTTTCTTTGGCAGTTGTCTGACAATAAAGGTAAGCTCCTAGTCCATGTTAGGCCTTCATTTTATTATATTTTTTTTTTAAGAAAAGGCATAGTCTTTCGTAAAGGTTTTATTGTTATCATTGTCAGTTGGGTCTGTACCCATAATTGTGTTTAATGGCTTTATTTTGGCCATTAAAATGGCTTTTGAAAACATTTCTTTCCATCTTTGCACAGAGGGGGTACAATGAAATCCGTGAAGTTAAACAGTTCCATTTCACGGGCTGGCCTGACCATGGAGTGCCCTACCATGCTACAGGGCTGCTTTCCTTTATCCGGCGAGTCAAGTTATCAAACCCTCCCAGTGCTGGCCCCATCGTTGTACATTGCAGGTAAGTGGTGGTCCAAATGGTATTGACTGTATGCAATCAGCTTTTTTTAGAGTATCAAGACAAGGCTTTTGAGCACAAAAACTAATGTGTGCTTACGAAGTTCCAGCTTGCTTGTATTATAGATAAAGTAAAACAGCAATAAAATAAAAGTTGGCTGTAAGTAGTCTATAAAACAGGAACTTAAGAAATACATACATTCATCCTAATGCGTGTAGTGTTATCCACAATTTAAAGTATAGAAACTCTGCCTTTTAATGGCAACATCTGTGTTTTTTGTTTTTATCACTTTTGCAAATCCCATATTGTATAGAATGCTAGGTTGAAATAGACATTTCTTGCCAATCTAGAAAATTCCCAATAGAATTCCAGCTTTAAAACTAAATTTCAGACATACAGAGTTACTAAATGGCCTAAATTGCAAGGATTTGTGCTGCAAAACAGCTATTTAAAAATTTTTTTTAAAGAATTCACATTAGAGGACCTTGAAAACTGCATCAGTGAGATTCAGCAAATATATGCCAAAAAACACGAGCATTATATCCAGACTTTCTTCTGATTAGAAACTTCTCTTAAAACAAGCATTTAGAGATACTAAAAGCAAATTACATGGCCTCATTTTGAGGTGTGACCAGAAAAATAAGTACTGAATCTGAAAAGCGTTTCCTAAATGATGCTGCACACCATTCTCATACGCTCTTCCCTCCAAGCTACATAATAGGTTGTACCTAAGCATTTTTTGCTTTCTGAAAATCCAACCTATTCAGGATTTAAATAACCATGTATAAAAGAGGGGAAAAAAAGCAGAGAATGAAGTAAAGGTAAAACGTCCCATAGGATCAGATACTATGTACCCTGAAAACAAAAAAAACTTCCTTTCAATCCTCCTCATGAAATCTGATGTACTCTTAAATTACATTCCTGTCTCCAACTCTGGGAACAGTGATTGAGAAGATGGTAGGGGACAAAGATAAATAGAGATAGCCACAATATCTTTTGCTTAAATTTCTAAAAGAACAGTGAGTTTAAGAGAAGTGACCAAATCTGAATAACAAGGAAATAATGTTACTAGCCTATCTAAGCACTTAGAAAATGAGATAAATAGGTTTTCAACTTAAGAATTTCTTGATTTATCAGAGAGGTTTACTTTCTTATGAATTGCTTGCTTCAGAAATGCTCCAAGATTCTCAGATACTCTCTTGAAACAGAAGTGTCATTTTCCACCTACACTGAAGCATCTCTGGACTACAAAGTGAATTCCCCACTCCCCGCAAAAAATCCTTATTTTGTTTTCCCCATTGACTTCTATATATAAAATTGGAGAAACATTCCCCAGCTGCAAAATAATCACAGTATATTACAATTAAAGGACACAAAATATGGTGAGATAGAGGAATACATTTTAGTGTTCTGTACCACTGTAGGATGAGTCTGGTAAATGATAATGTTTAGTTTGAGAGAGCTAGAAGGAAGATACTGAATGTTCACAACATAAATGATACATGTTTGAGAGGACGCATATGCCAATCACCCTTTTCTGATCACTCTACATTATGTGTATTAAAATATCACTATGTACCCAAGAATATATACATTATTATTTGCCAAT
Organism: Homo sapiens; assembly: GCF_000001405.40. Lineage (NCBI taxonomy): Eukaryota > Metazoa > Chordata > Mammalia > Primates > Hominidae > Homo > Homo sapiens. The sequence continues at coordinate 329,312 of NT_187556.1, read as the reverse complement.
TAAAGACTAAAATATAATTTTTTAAAAGTATTTTTAAAAATTAACTTTAGAATTAAATACAGTAAGATAGCGGCTAGCCTTTTGATTTGCTGGGAATCATATTCTACACCTAATAATTCATTTTCATTTCTCTTCAGATCATGATTCAAATAGTCTTTACACTGTTACTCTCCTCCCCTTTGATAACCGTCATTCTCTTGCCCACCCCCACCATTTGCATTTCCTGTGAAGCGTGGCTCCTCAGATTTCCCGTTTAAAGTTTTGGGAATTAATTTTCTTTTGCCTTGGTATTTACAAGAGGTGAAGACAGTGAGTGAGCCAACATTCTCACATTGTTGCCAGAGGACACACAACTAGATGAATCTAAAAATATTCAATCTTGAGTTAAATTTTGAAGCGTGAATCTGCCACTTGATCAATTCTATGAACTTGAAATTATGTGTATTAAATTTACATAAAATGAAAATTGTGAGAGAGGTGTGGAACTTAAACAGTGTTATTTTCAATTTGAAAATAATTTAGAACTCTTGTTCCAATCTTTAGTTTATACCAAAGCAGATACTCTGCATGAAGCTATTTGTACATTAATAAGCTTTTACACAGCAGGGACAAGTGCTGTGCCTTGCAGTTTGTTAAATCAATTTGATTCTACCTATCTGACAGTGGAAAAAGTCCTTATTTAAGGTTATGAAGACTAACATGCTTCTTACAATTCATTAAATTTAATTGTTTTTCAGTGCTGGTGCTGGACGAACTGGCTGCTACATTGTGATTGACATCATGCTAGACATGGCTGAAAGAGAGGGTGTTGTTGATATTTACAATTGTGTCAAAGCCTTAAGATCTCGGCGTATTAATATGGTCCAGACAGAGGTATGTAGATTTACCTGTAGTGGACTTTTTTTTATTTTTTATTTTTTTTGCAAACAAAGAGTAGATGTCTCTCATATATACTCTACTCAACCGAAAGAGATGTTTTTCATGTGTAATCAATATTAGCTGAGTCATATAGAAAAATATTGGTGTTTTAATTCATATTTCCATATAGAGAAAATTTTCTGTATTTCCTAACTTTGATGACAGAAAAGTGATACTAAAACTAGTACAAAATTTTCTTTTTCATTCTTTTGGTAGGAACAGTACATTTTTATTCATGATGCCATTTTAGAAGCCTGCTTATGTGGAGAAACTGCCATACCTGTCTGTGAATTTAAAGCTGCATATTTTGATATGATTAGAATAGACTCCCAGACTAACTCTTCACATCTCAAGGATGAATTTCAGGTATTAACTATTTCTAAAACCTCTTTTGTGACTTACTACAATTTGTTCTGGGCGCTAGGAATCCTTTCAAGGAAGGTCTTTCAAGTCAAATTTATAACCTTTGATCCTGTTTTAAATACAATACGTATCTCTTTCATTATACATATTATATAGTCACTTTTCTATTGATGAATTTATATCTACTATATCCAAAATGACAAATAAGTTCAGACTTAGGGAAGAGCAAAGGGGAAAGGTATCATAAAAGTCAAAAATTAGGCCAGGCGCAGTGGCTCATGCCTGCAATCCCAGCACTTTGGGAGGCCGAGGCGGGTGGATCACGAGGTCAGGAGATCGAGACCATCCTGGCTAACACGGTGAAACCCCGTCTCTACTAAAAAGACAAAAAAAATTAGCCAGGCATGGTGGCGGGTGCCTGTAGTCCCAGCTACTCGGGAGGCTGAGGCAGGAGAATGGCGTGAACCTGGCAGGCGGAGCTTGCAGTGAGCCGAGATTGCACCACTGCACTCCAGCATGGGCAACAGAGCGAGACTCCGTCTCAGAAAAAAAAAAGAAATAATAACAAGTCAAAATGAGTGGTGATTTGTGTGTATTTAGTGTGTATTTATAGCCTTTTTTTCATGCAGTCATACAGATTTTGACCTGGGTCACTCACAATGTGATGAGATCAAGCACATTAATTATAACTGAGTCTGGGTTCAGTGGCAGCTCACACCTATAATCCTAGCACTTTGGGATGCCAAGGCAGGCAGATCTTGAGGTCAGCAGTTCAAGACCAGCCTGGCCAACATGGCAAAACCTCATCTCTACAAAAAATATAAAAAATAGCCGGGTGTGGTGGTGCATGCCTGTAGTCCCAGCTACTCAGGAGGTTGAGATGGGAGGATTGCTTGACCCTGGAAGTTTGCTTAACCCTGGAAGGCTGTGGTGAGCCAAGATATTGCCACTGCACTCCAACCTGGGCAACAGAGTAAGACCCTGTCTCAAAAATAATAATAGTAATAATAATAATAAATGAAGTTTGTAGTACATGTTATTTCAAAATAGCCCTAAATGTTTTCACTGCCCTTAAAACACCCCTGAAGGTGGGTGAAAATAAAATCAAGGGCAGAGACCAAATTCTTTGATTGTTGATCCAGTGCTCTTTCCAACATGCCATAGCTTATCTTCAAATATGGCAAGCCCAGATGTTACTACAAATGATACCGTTTCCCAGTGTGATGAAGGGTCATTATCATAATGGACTGCCCGATTGCATTTTCTTTGGTTAAGGCAATGCATTTTGCAGGTAGCAGTGTTGTTTAGCGTACCTTTTCCTTTTAAGAAGAGGAGCCCTGAACAATGTGTGTCTTGTTTCTTTGTCACTTCTCAGGCTTCATTAGCTTTAACTACAAGGTCTATCAGCCTGTCATAGTAGCAAATGCCATTGCCTCGCACAAATCCTTCACTTTCTACTTGGCCTTCTAAATTCCTGATGGATCTGTGTTATACTGTTAAATGGGTCACACTGTCTTTTAACCTGGGTTCTCTTTTCTTTTTAGACTCTGAATTCAGTCACCCCTCGACTACAAGCTGAAGACTGCAGTATAGCGTGCCTGCCAAGGAACCATGACAAGAACCGTTTCATGGACATGCTGCCACCTGACAGATGTCTGCCTTTTTTAATTACAATTGATGGGGAGAGCAGTAACTACATCAATGCTGCTCTTATGGACGTAAGAGACTGCCCTCTTTGTTAGTGTAGAGTGTTGTGGAAAGCTACATAATGCAACTGAACACTGGCTAGTTTTCTTTTCGAGGAAATTAAAATAACCTAAAAAGGAAAAGTGGAAACTTTTATTGAAACACATTTTTTTGGAAAATGATTTTAGGTTTTCCCTATAGAGATTCTTAAGAACTGTCATTTTTATAGCTTTATTGTAGATTTGGAGCTTGATTGTCAATTATTATATTCATGTAGTAAATATTGCAAGTTATAAATTTCATCTTAATTATTTTCAGAAAAGAAAATCATGCCTTATCTATTTTGAATATAATTAGAAATGAATTTTTTAAATCACAGAATGCCAAATCCTACAAAAATCATGTTAATTTGGGAAATTTTTATTTCTGACATTTAATGTTTCAATAATTTACAATTAATTTGTTGGCCATTAATCAATAAGGACTATTATAAGTAACTAGAGAGGGGATGGATGGTATTATGTTAACACATCCATCATAATGAAAGAACAATCTTGCCCCATTCTAAAATCTTAAATTGCAGGGTGTTATATAGCCCATAGACAGAACAATATGGAAAGAAAGTTTTCTGTTTTAGTTTTTGGTTTTTTTTTTTTTAGACAGAGTCTCACTCTGTCGCCCAGGCTGGAGTGCAGTGGCATGATCTCAGCTCACTGCAACCTCCGCCTCCCAGGTTCAAGCAATTCTCCTGCCTCAGACTCTTGAGTAACTTGGAATACAGGAGCGTGCTCTACCACACCCCGCTTATTTTGTTTGTTTGTTGTTGTTTTTGTTTTTGAGACAGAGTTTCGCTCTTGTTGCCCAGGCTGGAGTGCAATGGCACAATCTCGGCTCACTGCAACCTCTGCTTCCCAGGTTCAAGCGATTCTCCTGCCTTTGCCTCCCAAGTAGCTGGGACTACAGGCATGCACCACCATGCACGGCTAATTTTTTGTATTTAGTAGAGATGGGGTTTCACCATGTTGGTCAGATTGGTATTGAACTCCTGACCTCAGGTGATCCACCTGCCTCGGCCCCCCAAAGTACTGGGATTACAGGCGTAAGCCACCGTGCCGGGCCTTTTTTGTATTTTTAGTAGAGATGAGATTTCACCACATTGGCCAGGCTGGTCTCAAACTCCTGACCTCATGATCCGCCCACCTTGGCCTCCCAAGGAAAGAAAGTTTTAAATTATGACTTTGGCCACTTTACTTTGATTATGTTGGAAAGAAGCAAGAAAGCTATCATGGTTTATAATCTTTTTAAACAGTTTACTGCCTTCATTTCTAGCTTTTGCCCTTTCTCCTATGAAACCATATCAAGGAGAAATTAGAAGCCACGGTTCATTTCTTTCTGACTATAACAGGCTTTCTAAGTTATTGTTCCTGTTAAGCCCACATTCTGTTTCTACGAGTAGTCTTCACCAGTTACTTTACTCTTTTTGGTGCTGCAAAGCGGAATAGTCTAAAGGCAGGCTCTCGTCCTTGCTGTGGTCACTCTTGCCTGTGAAAAGCTCTCATCCTTGCTGTGATCGGAGTCTTGCCTGGCCATTAATCACATCCACTGAAATCACATTAAATCCTAATTATACCTTTTCTTTTTATATTAGGTGTCTGGAAAGGCAAATATACTAAATAGAGAGATGGCATACAATACTTTTTCATTTCTGCATCTAAATATGGAATAAAAAAAGGATGTGTGAACAAGAAAAGGAGAAAATAATAATATTTAGAAAAGCATTGATGCCTTTGAATTTTTTGCCATTGGCATCTTTGTCAAATTTTTCTCAATGTCCAGATTGTCTCCTTTTCTTTTCTTTTTTCTTTTTCTTTTTGAGACAAGCTCTCACTCTGTAGCACAGGCTGGAGTGTCGTGCATGATCACAGATGACTGCAGCCTCAATCTCCTGGGCTCAAGTGGTCCTCCCACCTCAGCCTACCAAGTAGCTAGAACTAAGGTGTATGCCATCATGCCCAGCTAATTTTTTTTTTATTATTTTTTGTAAAGATGGGGTCTTGCTTTCTTGTCCAAGCTTGTCTTTTTTTCTGTATGAAAGTTGAAGCTTGTAATCCACCTGCTCTTACTGTCTGCTTAATCCCCTGTGATTCAAAAAAAAGACATTTCATAGTTAAAGCTGTTCTGGGGATTTAGTAGTGCAAATGAACCGTTGGAGAAGTAAAGCTGGTTTGATTTACAAGAACAGGGTTTATTGTTCACTTCTTTCTCCCTACCCTTTATCCCCATCATTAGTACCCTTTTGCCAGGTCTATGAGGGATTAGGAGCTAGGGCCAAGAATTCTGTAATTTCAAAGCCTTACATATGTTCCTGCATTTAGAGGGAAAAAGAATAGGAAGTCTTCAGTCTTCTCCTCTCTTATCAGCTCCTCCTCATGCATATCCCCTCCCCTGTGGCTCAAAAAATGAGTAGATAGCCGTCAGTCTGCTTTGACTTACCTTTGCATGGAGCAGACATTTGATTGGAAGAAGAGCTTCCTTTCTTCTAACTTTTCTCATTGTATTAGTTCATTCTCACACTGCTAATAAAAACATACCTGAGACTGGGTAATTTATAAAGGAAAGAGTTTTAATTGACTCACAGTTCCACAGGGCTGGGGAGGCCTCAGGATCCCTGCAATTATGGCCGAAGGGGAAGCAAACCCGTCCTTCTTCTCATGGTGGCAGGAAGGGGAAGGAGTGCCAAGCAAAGGGGGAAGCCCCTTATAAAACCACCAGATGTCATGAGAACTCACTCACTATCTGGAGAACAGCATGGGGGAAACTGCCTGCATGATTCAATTATCTCCACCTGGTCCTGCCCTTGACATGTGGGGATTATTACAATTCTAGGTGAGATTTGGGTGGGGACACAGAGCCAAACAATATGACTCATGAACCTTCCTGCCTTTCTTAGGAGACACTCATCCCAGCTGCACGTGTAACTTGGTAAGGTTTTGAGGTCATTTAGAAGTAGCCAGGTAAATTATTATTGTCATCTACTCAGATTTATCCTGCAGTCTTCAGCCAACGCTGAATGCCATGGTTGGTAGCATTTCCCAAATGGTGGTAGCATCAGTGAAGTCCAAGAACCAGTTCCTGTGCTGATGTTAAGATTCTTGAAGGACTTAAATAGTAGTATGATACAAATGAGTTACAAGATCATTGAAAATTTTTGTCAGCATTAGGGAACTCTATAATCTACTAATTATTATTATTATTATTGCAAATAATTAGTTTAAATCAAATGGCAATTGTCCAGTCCAGATAAATATTGTTTTTACTACTTCTCCCTTTGGAAAGAGATAATATATTGTGTTCTAATCAAGGAGGACTTGGTTAACAAGGAGCTATCTCCCCGCTTATGTGGGGACAGGAAATATATTGCTGTTATGCTTTGGTGCTTCAGGATCTTAAATGGTTGAGACTGTCATTATGACCTTTGATATATGTTAGAAATGCCCAGGAAGCTGTGGAAGGTGGATTGTCTGCAAGATGTGCAGAATATCCTGGTAGTGTCCACATAATGTAAAAGCACAAGTGTTTGAGCTACTTGTGGTTTTTCTTATTTGGAGTGGAGAAGAGTAAAACAATTTTACTTGCACGCACACACACTATACACATACCCAGATGATTGATAGACATACCAGGGGTTTTGTGCTTACTTTGCCTTCAGCCTCTCAGAGACTGATTACGTTTGGAAAATTGAAATAGCCCAACAGGAACCTTACAGAGGATGTTAACCTCAGAAGCTTTTTAGTTTCTTCTTTTGTATTTGTCCTGTATTTACGTCTTTCAGTAAAGTAAAAACTCAGTTATTGACTTGAATTGCTTTGGAAGCATTGAAGTCTTCCACCAAATTGATTCATTACTGTACTAATTCAGTTCATTCCAGTGGTCTGAATCTCCTATTCCATGGTTTAATCATCACTCTGGCTCCTTCTGCATATGAAGCTATTGCATCTTACTGGTCCTACATTGAAGTGTATTGTATCTGTTTGTACAACCGATCATACATTTTAAGTTTTTATATTTCTCCATCTACCTTGTTTCTTCACAGAGCTACAGGCAACCAGCTGCTTTCATCGTCACACAATACCCTCTGCCAAACACTGTAAAAGACTTCTGGAGATTAGTGTATGATTATGGCTGTACCTCCATTGTGATGTTAAACGAAGTCGACTTGTCCCAGGTTAATGGCTATGGATTGCTTTTATGTACTTATATACAACTTAATAGAGTAGTAATGAATTGCTAAAATCTGCTTTATACTCTCCTAACTAGAAAAAATAATACTCTTTTTTTTTTTCTTTCAAAACGTTCATCATTTAGGGCTGCCCTCAGTACTGGCCAGAGGAAGGGATGCTACGATATGGCCCCATCCAAGTGGAATGTATGTCTTGTTCAATGGACTGTGATGTGATCAACCGGATTTTTAGGATATGCAATCTAACAAGAGTAAGTCACTATCGGATCCTTTGAGCTGATCTAGAATAGGTCAGTCATAACCAAGATGTGGTATAATTTTATTCAGACAACAGGGAGACTACAATTAATAAGCACTATATCATCCACCTCAAAGCTAGTAACCATCTTATGCCTTAGTACTCGAATAAAAATACAGGAAAACAGAAATGCTGGAAGCTAGGTTTTTCGGTCAGTCACTAGACTAGCATATTCTCTCAGGAAATACAGATGCACTGGCTCAGTCAAGTTGGACAGCCTAGGCCTGGCCTCTGAGTGTATGTAGACTTATCTTAAGGATGACTGCATGTTTTATTAGTATTGACATCCAGCCCAGAAATGGCATGTGATAAAAAAAATAAGAACATTGCAATAACAATAATGACAGAGAAACTGTACTGCAGGAGGAAAGAGACATGTTGGATCAACCATTATAGAAGGGTTCCATGTCACTGTTCCAAGTTCATTATTGATTATCCTACCTGCAATTTCATCTTCCTAAACGTCTCAACCTATGGCTCTAAGCAGATCTAAAGGTAGAACCAGTGCTGCTACCACCATGCCTTTTCCCAGCAGCAAAGTAGTAACTGTATCGTCTTTCTCTGACTCCTCATTTGCTTTCCACTACATGACAAATTCAATGTGGGTGGGGAAGATCTTAAAAAAAAAAGTGCTAATAAAGCCCGGGCACAGTGCCTCATGCCTGTAATTCCAGCACTTTGGGAGGCCAAGGCGGGCAGATCATAAGGTCAGGAGTTCAAGACCAGCCTGGCAACGTGGTGAAACCCCATCTCTACTAAAAATACAAAAATTAGCTGGACATGGTGGTGGCATGCCTGTAGTCCCAGCTAGTGGGGAGGCTGAGGCAGCAGAATCATTTGAACCCGGGAGGCAGAAGTTGTAGTGAGCTGAGATCACGCCACTGCACCCCAGGCTGTATAGAGCGAGACTTCGTCCCCCAAAAAAAGATATTAATAAAAACAATTTAGATTATGTAACCAAATAACAAGCAGAATTGGAAAAGAAAACATTAGTAACTTTCATGAAATTAAGCTCTTTTTAGAGAGAAACATTACTCTGTTTTTTAAAGCACCAGCTCTGTGGGTATGTATTTTAAGTGTGTGATTAGGATTATCATGTTTCAGTGTCTCTCATATCAAAATGACTACGTGTGTGTCTGGTTAATAAGTCTATATGTATATAACTATGAGCAGGGAATGGAATCATATCGACTCCTATTGCTCATTTCAGTGGAGAAAAAAAGGATAACTTCAATCATCTCATAATATTCATGCATATCTTAGATGTTAATTTAAATGGAATCTCATTATGTCTGCACATCTGTTACATTATGGTTCTAGTAATATTTGAGTTGGAAAAAAACAGAACTGCTGAAGACAGTAAGGCTTGTCTGTTAATTGAGCAGTTTATGTGAAAAATATTCTAGGAACAGGAACTGAAATGTTATATTTTTGTCAGCATATTTATTTATTTGTTTGCTTACTTATTGAACTGCCTCTGTATTTGGTATTCTGGTCCTTATTAGTACATGATTTTTTTTCTGTTCTCACTCTCATCATTTAATATATTTAATATATTTAACTGCATCAAACATTTAACATGTACCAACAAGTTTGTAGAGTACTAAGTAGGGCTTGTAATCTACCAAAAGATGCATGGGCTCTTGCCAATCTGATATGATTTACTCATATATTACATATTCTTCCTGATATTTTTATTTCAAGGTTTAAGGTTTTGATTCATTCTTTCAACACTACTACTTTTGGGGAAGTATTATGCAAAGTTCTACTGATACAGAGTGTAGGAAAAAAAGATTTCCGTGTACTTAAGGAATCTTTATTTTTTTCAGGAAGAAAAGCATTACATGAAAATTGTATAATCCTTTTTGTATAAAAGTGATGCATTTTACAGTGAAAGAGTAAAGAATATAGAGTGTTTAACTGGGTGATCTGACATAACTGTGTGATCAGAGATGACCTCTTTGCGATAGTAGTATTTAAGCCAAAATTTAATGAATCAATAGAAATTAGTTGGGGGTTGATGTAACCCACCATCCTGGTTTGCCCAGGGCAGGAGCTTTCCCAAGACACACAGCCTTCAGTGCTAAGACCAGAGAAGTCCCAGGCCAACCTGGGACAAGTTGGTCATTCTATTTGGGATTGAGAAGACCAAGCAAGGAAGAAGTATTCAAGGCAAAGGGTACATACAGTATATGCAAAGTCCCCAAGGCAAGAAGAGACTTGATATATGGATTAAAAGAAGACAAAGAGAAGGTTGAAGAAGGGGGTGGAGCCAGATCACATAAGTTTTTTTAAGCCATGACAACAATTTGGATTTTATGCTAAGATCATTTGAAAATCATTAAAGCAGGAAATGACAAGATTGTATCTGCAGTTCAAAATAATCATGATGCCTATAGTAAGAATGGACTGGAAGGAGATCAAAGTTTATTCAGGGAGATCAGCTAGGAGGTAATTATCAGAACCTGTGACTAGTAGTGTATTGATGTCAGTGGTGATAAAGAGAAGGCAATGAATCTGAAAGTTATTTAGGAAATGTAATCGTAGTAATGAATTACTGGATACATAGTGCGAGGGAGAAACAGGTATAAAGGATGATTGCCATGTTTCCTGCTGTTGTCACTTAGAATGTTTTTTTACTAGCATGTACATATTGAGGATTTATATCAGCTAGACTCAATCCAGTGTAGATGCCATTTGTATTGTAAATTATATGCACCTTTTACTTTTTAGTAAAAATTGTAGTCCCAGCGTATTTACATAAAAACACTTCCCTCTACAGCCACAGGAAGGTTATCTGATGGTGCAACAGTTTCAGTACCTAGGATGGGCTTCTCATCGAGAAGTGCCTGGATCCAAAAGGTCATTCTTGAAACTGATACTTCAGGTGGAAAAGTGGCAGGAGGAATGCGAGGAAGGGGAAGGCCGGACGATTATCCACTGCCTGTGAGTAGGGCAGCTCAGCCTGTCATTCATGGGGCCTTGGTGCTTATTTTCTCATTTTCAATGTTAAAGACTATCTGGCTTGCATCTTATGGACCTCCCATAGATGTTATTTTTAAACAGTCTTCCTGTCTCATGAGTCTATAATTAACTACTAAGTTTATTTTGTATATTTTCTAAATATTGATTATTATATAGCTATATTATTTAAACTCTTTGGAACACTACTCGTAACAACTTCTGATTTACACAGTTTACAAATATATCAGAATCTCAAAGTCTAGATTGCAGCAATCTATGCCTATAGCATTTTCCTGAGTATAAGCTACTGATCTAATTTCATCCTCAAGTTTTCTCCTCTCTGCCTTGTACACATATAAAGCAAAATTAAGACACAAATGGAAAACAATTAAAACTACAATGTCTTATTTTCCCAAACATATATGATGGTGTGACCTGTGGTCACTTGGTGCTGCTATCTAAAATGCCTTTGCTTTCTTTGCTTTCAGAAATGGTGGCGGGCGAAGTGGCATGTTCTGTGCTATAGGCATCGTTGTTGAAATGGTGAAACGGCAAAATGTTGTCGATGTTTTCCATGCAGTAAAGACACTGAGGAACAGCAAGCCAAACATGGTGGAAGCCCCGGTGAGTCACAGAATCTTAGATTTGGAAGGCATCTTAGAGATTAGTTAGTCATATACCTACTTATTGATTTGACTTCATACACACATAGGGAATCAGATGTGAAAATGAGACGTTGTGGGGACTTTCCTGCCTAATTAATACATTGCTGAGCATCCCCCTCTACCCACAGACACTTAATCACGTATTGCATAAACTGCTAATCATGAAACTATTTTCATTTAATTTGGGAAATTTGTAGGATTTTTTTTCTGTTATAGCCAAAAAATATTTGCTGCAGTAAACTTTGGTAAATGGTCCTATAAGAAGAATAAATCCTATATCAAGGCTGTATGTCTAAGGGATATAGGTTTCATCAGTACCTTAGACACCCAGTATTTTTAAAAGGCAATGAAATTTAGTTTTGTCATTATCTATAATTATTCATTCATTTTCTGATCAAATTGTAAATGGTTAAACTATCATGGTTAAGTTTTCAGCTTTTACCAACTGTAGAGGGCAGTTCATATCATGCTACTTGAGCTTGTCAAGGCTCGTAAAGTCAGAACATAGCTTACAAAATAAGAGCTGATAGGTATGTGTGTGTGTGACAGTTCATCTAGGTGAAGCTGTATGCAGAGTAAGAAAGAAAGTTACACTTATCTAACACATTTTACTTCTAACGAGAGATATCTGTGGGTTACACATATGTATGTGCATGGTGGGATCAGGTTGGGAGCAGCTGTGTAGTGTATGCTCACAGAAAAGTAAACCAGAAAAACCAAGGCATCATTGTTGCTTGCCCTACATTTATCAAGATGATCAGATAACTAGAATGAGCAATTCAATAAACCTTTAAAGTATTTCACCACTTCCTGCTCATGGATTGCTCGCACAAGAGTTGCGTTGCTTCCTGAGACAAAATCTGAAGACTTAGGTTTGTACTGTTTCACTTTTACAAGCGGTACCAGACTTCCACCCTTTCTACAGGTGTCCTCAAACTCCCTACACCACCTCATTTCCCTGGGTTGTTGCAGCTGTCTACACAAGATTACATTGGTTTTGATTGGGGTGCTGGCTATGGAGATGAGAAAGGGGGGATGAATCGGAGGGATTTTTGAGGGAGAACTCTCAGATCGTCTTAGCAACTAAATGAATAGTGGTTATGTCTCTAAACTTTGCGATTTGAAGATTTCTTGATGTAAACTCTGCCTCCATTTTTCAGGTCAAGTCTTAAAATCATCAGTGGGATCATTTCTGACTTCAGAATTCAACTTTTACCTTCAAATTTAACTGATTTCCCACCTTTTTTAATTAAAAAAAAAATCTATGGTTAAACTGTGCCATTCTGGGACCTTCCAAAAAGTTACTATTTTCCTTTACATTCATGTCCCGTGAATCCTGAACACCCCACCCTCTGATTTGTGTTTAATCAGTGTTGATGATTAGTTTAGTGAGCTGTGGAGTTGAGCTGAGGAGTTTGGTGAGGAGATTTAGAGTGAAGGCAATATTGCTGGAGACTGCTTAAAGAGACATAACTATTTCTAGGCACATTTTGGTTCCTTGAATGCACTCGCCACAGTGGTAGGTGAATTTGAATCATAACTACTTGGTGAATAGTGTTGGAATGATAAAGACCTCTTAAGGAAAGTTTTATTACCCTAGTTTATTGCTGGAGACACCTCGAACTTCTATTCCAAAATAATATGCATTTTAGACTGTTCTCCAGCCTGAATTTTACCCACTTGAATGAACTGAGTTGGGAATTTTTAAATGAATTGCATATTATAAGTAATAGTTTATGATATGGTCTCTGAATTTTTCTAAATTCTTATTATGGAGCAAGTCCATAGATGGGCTTAGAGGAAAGGCAGTTTTAACTCAAAAATTTTATTGCCAATATGTTGTCTTAAACATATAAAGGCAGCAGAAATACATTTTCAGGTATAAGTAGGCTCAAAATTTAAGGATCACTAACCATTCTTGAAAAATTTGCTTAAATACTCTGATGGACAAAAACAGTGTCAAAAATTAAGAACTTGAAATTGCATAAATGGCTGTTTAAAATGGCTGGCTTTTTTTTTCTCAAGGAAATCATCTGAAATATATGGAGAAAAACATTTGCAGTTTATCACTGTAGCATTATAAAATAGAGAAAAAAATAAAAGCAACTTAATAGTCAAACAATACATATATTTGATTTTTATGTGGTATTAAAAGATGTTAAATAACATGGAAAAAGAATTGTAACAATGTTAAATTTTAAAAGTTACATTTAAAATTATATTTTGAAATATACATAGTTATATTTATTCTAAGATAATTATTTCAACCATGCACAAAAAGAACTGAGGCAAACTAAGGTGATATTTTAACAATTTCTTCTGATGATAGAATTATAGCTCTTTTTCTCATTCTTTATGTTTGTTCAGAATGTGTATATTCTTTATATTTGTACAGAATTGTTCTGTAATGATCAAATATTACTATTATAAACAGATAAAAAATTATAGATATTTAAAAAATTGATAGAAAATATGCGGCAAAGATAAAATGTCTTTTTAAGATAAATTTCCTTTTTCTTAAATGGATCATTAGACTCAAGTATAAAATATGTATGCCTAGATATTAATCTCATATATAGAAAAAATAAATTGTAATCCTTGAGTAATCTAAATTGGTTGTCAAGTTTCATTTGGTAACTGTTATTCAACATTAGTCTCTTTCTTAAGTTTTCTCACTCTTTGTGTTTTGACATCTTTCAGGAGCAATACCGTTTCTGCTATGATGTAGCTTTGGAGTACCTGGAATCATCTTAGTTGGGTGAGACTCTTTAAAGTGCATCCATGAAGAAACCTGTCCATCTATTGAGCCAGCAGCTGTTGTACCTGTTACACTTGTGCAGAAAGATTTTAATGTGGGGGGTGGGAGACTTTTACATTTGAGAGGTAAAAGTATTTTTTTTATGAAGTTGTGTATCTTAATAAAAAGGACTGAATTAGTTTTTATTACTATATTAAAGCATCAACATTTCATGCCACATAAATTATATTTAATAAGAACCAGATTGAAATGAGAACGTATTGGTGTTTGTACAGTGAACATGCCACCTTTTTTCTCATGGTTTCAGTAGAGCAGCTACCACATGTTGCATGAGTTCATACTTTCTACGTGGCATTTTTCTCCCTTTCTAAAATGAAAGCTGATGAATCTTAAAAGGAAGAAGAAAAGAAAAGCTGTGCAAATTCATAGTAAAGTTCGTTTTTTATATGTTTCCAGTGTAGCAGATCTCTATATAAATATATAAATATATATAACTGGCTTATTTTCTTTTAATGTGCAATGATGGCTGGATCATTTAAAGTTCTTTTTAGAAAATAACATAAGCCAAAGACTCAAGTGTAAATATGTCTATATGGAGAAAGCACATTATATTTATTGGTTACTTACATTCCTTTTTTGATGGCTAAAATACTACCACCACACAATCATCTTTTTTTTCCTGAAGAAAGCTTTTTCTTTAGCTAAAATCAATTGTAAACGATTTTTGTAGATTATTTTTTGTATGTTTTAGTGTAAGTAGAAGATAAACTTTTTATTCATAAACCAGGAAGCAATGTTCTTTATAGTGATTCTCTTGTGTACATGCTTGTGAATTAAATTTGTGTAAAATCCCTTGGCAATTGGGTCTTTTAATATAGGACCAAATTAAAACATTTTGCTGAATATGTATAGTTTTTCACAATTTCATTAGGTAAATAATGGTTTGGTGATCATACATGAGAAATGTACACATTAAAAGGCCTTGCTGACAACTTGCACAATGTTGAACATAGCCTTTAAGCATCATTTAAATTTTAAAGGAATGGAGTTTTTCAGCCTGTGGCCCAGCACTGGTCAAGAAAACAAGATGGCAACATATATGCTTTCAGGGTCAAATTTGAGCAAACTGTAAACTGTCAGGGTGATAAAATGTTTCTCTTGATGTTTACATGCACAAGCTTTGCGTTCTGACTATAAAAAGTGTGAACAAATCAATGCCAGATTCCTGTTTTGCGCATTGTCATGGGATTCTTAAGTGAACCTTTCTAAATGTGGTCTTGTTCACATGCTCCACGTAGCTGTAACTTCACATCATCAGCTTGCAGTTTGTAATTGACTAAAGCATTCCAGTGTCCTCTTTCTAGATTGCCAGCTCATGACATGGTGCTTATAAAGATTTAATTAAAGTAAGAATGAAATAAAGTTTTTATAATTATAACAGTTATTGTTTGCACATCATTTTTTCCTCTTAATGTTTATGCATTCACCACTAAATGAGTAGCTTATTCCTATACTCGTTGATACAAGTAGGCCACAAAAACTCTATTTAAAGAGTAAAACTGATTTCCAACCTCTAGTTTCTTTTATTTTTATTTTCTTAATTTAATGCCAAAATGTCCAGTAGGTGGAGATGGAAAAGGCCAGGAGATTGACATCATTTTTTGTTTGTTGGTTTCTATATTTATCCATGTATGTAATACACATTTTCCATTTGTGTTTGTCACTATCCATTTATATAATACACATCTTACTTTTTTCTTATAACCAACATGACAAATGGTACTTATGATCCCTATTTTACAGATGATGAAATGGAAGCTAATGAGAAGGTACATGATTTGTCAACAGATTCATTCCTACTTAGCAGCTATGTCTTTACCACTAAACACATTGTTTCCCAAATGTCACAAAGATAGACAAAAAAATTTAGAATTTCATTTCTATTGTTCCTCATTAATCAATTTTCTCTTAAAGTATTATTATCATAATGGACATCTTCAATCTCCCATTTGCTATGTACTTTATTAGAAAATGCGTGACTTTTTAAAAAATTCAGATAAAGCAAACTTTTCTTAGGAAAGCTGATTTTCATTTAAACATGGAGGCATTTAACAAAAAAAAATCCACAAACTCGCCCAAGATTTTTTTTACCCGGTAATGTTTATTATGTTATCCTATAGAAGATTCTGTTTCACTGTGTGACACTGACTTCATTTCTGCTCATGACTGCACCACACACCAGCAAAGTTATCATGAGCACAACTGTCCACAAAGCTCAGAGGTCTGTGCAGCCTCTGTAATTCAAAGAACAAGAGTTCTCTTTCTTTGTAACAGGAAATTGAAATATCATGCTTGCTTTGTTTGGGCACCACAGAAGCCACTTGATCAGGAGACAATGGAAGAGGGGTTGCCTGTTGCTCTCAAAACTCATATTCAAAAGCTCATATCTTATACCCTTAAGGGCTCCCTAAGTAGTCTTGTGCATGACTATGTTCTCCGACACCCCCAGCCATGTCCCTCTGGGCGGATGTCCTGGTGCTGGCTGGGGGTGGGGTCCTCTTCCACTGGCACAGCTCTACATGCTTTTCATAGTTTAGGGCTTCCTATTCCTAATTTAGTTATTCCTTAAATGGCTGTCATGTCGTTGAATTTTACAGACCCCCTTTCTATAACTATCACTAAGGAGATGTTGGAAGTGTGTGGGCCAGAGACACACCAGCAACTGGGAATTTTTGAGTTTTAAAACCATTCTTGGAAATAAGTGTTATCTCTCTTAGAGTTGTCTCCTAGCCTTTTCTAATACTTAGGCTTTGGAGTCTGTATTAGTCAGGATTCTCTAGAGAGACAGAACTAATAGGATAAATATATAAAGGAGTTTATTAAGTGTTAACTTACATGATCACAAGGTCCCACAATAGGCTGTCTGCAAGCTTGAGGAGGAGGAGAGCCAGTCTGAGTTTCAAAATGGAAGAACTTGGAGTCAGATGTTCAAGGGCAGGAAGCATCCAGCACAGGCGAAAGATGTAGGCAGGGAGATTAGGCCAGTCTTGCCTTTTCACGTTTTTCTGCCTGCTTTATATTTGCTGGCAGCTGATTAGATTGTCCCCACCAGATTAAGGGTGGATCTGCCTTCCCCAGCCCACTGACTCAAATGTTAACCTCTTTTGGCAACACATAGACACACCCAGGATTAATACTTTGTATCCTTCAATCCAATCAAGTTGACACTCAGTATTAACCATCAGTCTTTAGATAAAGGTGTTGCTGTGTTGCAGCCAAATGATCTCTGACATTGAAAGATAAACAAAAGGGGAGATATTTTTTGCCTGGACATGGAGAGGCTGCATGTTTATCTCCACACTGATGTGCTGATGTGCTCATTCAGTATTCATATTACCACAAGAATCTCTTGAGTTCCAGGCATTCATGTCGTAAACTTGGAAGTCAGACACCAAAGGCTGCTCCTTCTCATATCTACTCTCCTTCCAGAAAATGGTGTAAGGCAAGAGGTTCTTAGCACCTGAACTTAATAGATACCAGTAAATACTAAAATGCAGAAGAGCAGGGGCTGATTGTAGCTCAACTGAAAATATGAGGTGGGCAGTCTACTAGCTTTGGAAGACCACCTTTGAGATTTGCCTTTTTTTTTTTTTTTGAGATGGAGTTTCGCTTTTGTCGCCCAGGCTGGAGTGCAATGGTGCGATCTTGGCTCACTGCAACCTCCACCTCCCAGGTTCAGGCGATTCTCCTGCCCCAGCCTCCCAAGTAGCTGGGATTACAGGCACCTGCCACCGCGTCCCACTAATTTTTGTATTTTTAGCAGAGACGGGGGTTTGCCATGTTGGCCAGGCTGGTCTTGAACTCCTGACATCAGGGGATCCACCCGTCTTGGCCTCCCAAAGTGCTGGGATTACAGGTGTGAGCCACCATGCCCAGAGATTTGCCTAACTTTCATAGGGGAGTGACAATTCAGCATTTATATTTAATTTCTGTGCACTTTGGCAAGCATTCTTTTTAATAACAAAATAGCCAGAAATCAATAATCCATCACATACCCTGGGTATAATATGTAATATTTACCTTATAAAATGTTTCCATAGGCAGAGACTCCACATCCTTCCTAGACTTATTTCAGTGTTTTAGTAAACACCCCTACTTAGTGTAGAGTCTATGTGCCATTTCATTCAACACTGAGTGAAGCTAGAAGGCGGCTGGCTGTGCCTCCCTTAATCATTTCTACTTACATATTATTTCATAGCCTCACAGCTTAGGGAGGTTTGGAGTAGAAGAGATACCTGAATTTGTTCACAACTCCAGTCTGTTCAAGCAGTCTGCAGAGTATTCGAGTATTATTATATCTCTCTGAAACTAAAAGGAAAGGCTACTTTAAGTAGCTATAAGTGGCTTTTTGGAATATAAATTGGCCAAAAATCAATGGAAATGTGGTAGATATATATGACACTTCTGAACTTCCAGCTTCCTCCAAAGTGAATTGAAATGCTAGCTAACCTGGAAGATAACGAACAACACAGAGACCCTGTTGTTATCAAATCCGGAAAGACACCAATGGAGAGTTTCTAAATCATTGAAGCAAACGTAGGTCACTATGGAATATCTGAAAGCTCCTTCTTTAATGTTAAGACTATGTTGAAACTAATCAACTACATCGGAATAAATCAGCACTCAATTTTCTGTGTTAGATGTTAAGTATTGTCGATCATTTAATACAATTGGCAAGTCCATCATCATGAGATGTTATCTGTCATAAAATGCCTTCCTTCTCATGTTCTCTGGGCAGATTTGATTAGTCTTTTAGGATATATTAGTCTTGATTCCGTCAGGAATATGTAGCACTTAGGCCATAAGAATCCAACCCTCAGTACTTAGATATAATCTATGCAGTCTATTCAGATATAGAATATGAAGAACAGGAATGTCTAAATTGAGTCACCAATGACTTCTTTTCTTGTTTTTATATTTACTTTATTTTATTTTATTTCTTGAGACAAAGTCTCACTCCATCTCCCAGGCTGGAGTGCAGTGGCGTGATCTCAGCTCACTGCAACCTCTGCCTCCTGAGTTCAAGTGATTCTCCTGCCTCAGCCTCCCGAGTAGCTGGGATTACAGGTGTGCGCCACCACACCTGGCTAATTTTTGTATTTTTAGTAGAGACGGGGTTTCACCTTGTTGGCCAGGCTGGTCTCAAACTCCTGACCTCGTGATCCACCCACCTCGGCCTCCCAAAGTGCTAGGATTATAGGCATGAGCCACCATGCCTGGCCTCTTTTCTTAAATAGAAATTAGAACGTACATGCATTTAGACAATGCTGCATGGTTGGGGAGACAAAATCTAACTGAGAAAGTAGAGAAAAATATGAATGTCATGGCATCCACCTACTATTTGTTGAGAAAAGAGTTGGAAATTCATGCCTGCAAGGCCAGCAGGGACCATGAGTGTGGGAAGTGAGCCATGTATATTTAAGAATGGTCACTCAGGTCATATTATTACAATGAACGTCCTTAGCTTGTGTGTTTCCTAATAGGAATATTTTTCATCTCTACAAGAAAATTCTGCCTCCTAGTTTTATTAAAACACATGTTCCTATTGATTAATCTTGCATTTTCCCACTGTTGATTCAAAAATGGATACTAGATATTCTGCCATATTCAGCTGTACTGTAAGAAACACAAAAAAATGTGAGTGATAATAAATGGTACCTGCTGTTTGACATGGGGACAAAAGGGAGCAATGTGGGGAGGGCTGCCCCCACTGGGACTCGAAAGCACATGCAACACCTGCAGCAGCACTACCTTCCTGCAGCCTTTGCTGCACAGGAATATGGACCCAAGCATGGCCCATTTCCCAAGAGAATGTAGAAATCAAAATGTTTAGATTAATTTAGAAACTTTTCCGAATGTTGGTAACCAATTAAGTTTAGAAATACAGATGAAAACAAACCTCTGGCCCAATTCTGTGCAGAACAAACCAACCCTGTCTGAAGGCTACACTTGCTGTGGTTGTGTAAGAGCTTCAGGCTCCCAGTCTGTGACCTCCATTATGGAATAACTGGTTTTACTGTTTTAACTTTTTTAAATCATTTAAAAGAAATATGAGTTTTAGCTGTCTTAAAATAGCCATCATAACTGTTTTCCATACATGTTCTTTTTTCCTATTTGCCTTGTTTCCTTACATATTTTTCTGTTTTAAAAATACATGTAGATGAATCTTGACTCCTAAGATAAAAACAAAACAACAACAAAAACAAGATCAGCTTCTCTTTCTGCTCCTTTGTACCTGGACTAAATTCAGAAGAGCATGTTTCAGAAAATAATTCACACATTTTACCTAGTAAGCACTCCCCAAAATGATGAGTAGGAGATAATTCTTCTGGAAATAATAATACTGAGAACTCAAAAGGGGAGCAGTTGTTCTGTGAGCCGTGGGACAGCCAGAACGATTTTAGTCACAAGTGCAGAATAGCATCTGTGGAAGCATCGCATTTCCAGATTGTGATGATGCCTGCTGACTTCCATGGCAGGTGTAAAGCAGTGTGGGCTGTTGCCAGCTCACAATGGGAACCTGAACTCTAGTTCTACAAATCTAATTACCTGAAGCACAGTCAGCAGACCAAAATTGATTTCACCTTCATGTTATATTCTTGGAATGATAAAGTATGTATTCATTAATTTGACTTATTTTTCAACGTCAAGTTTTTTATTGCCTGTGATCAAATGTGATCATTGAGGAAAAAGAATCTCATTTTCTCGTAAGAAATTAGAGGATTGATATTTTTCTCATGAAATTATAGAATATTAGAGGGACATTAGAAATTATCTAATCCTATGCCCTTGTTGTTAAGGTTAAGAAATTAAAACCTAGTGAAGTCATATGTCTATCTGAAGAGGGCCATCCCGTAAATAGTTTAAGCTTTGCAGGCTATTGGCTTATGTTACCTTGTTGCCAGGAGACCTTCCCTTGAAGATTTGCTGAAGAAGGTCTTCAAACAGGAAGTAAATGATAGAAGAAGGAATTTTCAAGTATCAGGAAAGGAGAAAGAACAATGGATAGTAGAATTATGGGTACCTACAAAAACATTATTTACATGTATTTGTCTCATAGGTCGTTTTTGATGATTGAAACAAAAAAATTCCAACACCATCTGAAACTCAATAAAATGATAGTTAAAAGTGGGAAAGGAAAGACATCTAAGTAGAAGTAAGATTTTTATACTTCACTCGACATGGTAAAATATTGATACCACTAGATTGTAACACATCACATGTTACAGGATAATCATCAAAGAAACCACTGAGAAAAGTATATGAAAAAATATGCTCAAATGCACTATAAGTGAATCAGGATGGAATCCTAAAACATGTTCACATAACCCAAAGGAAGGTAAGGAAAGAGAAACAGATGAATAAGAACCAGAGAAAATAAACAGAAAACAAATAAATGACAGTTGCTAAACTATCAATAATTACTTTAAAAGTTTTTTTTAAAAAGCCAATAAAACATATAATTTGACAGACTGCATAAAAGCCAACTACAAAGAACATGACCCACCTATATAATATGTATAAGAATATCAGTTCATATTCAATGAAATGGGTAGGTTGAGAGTAAAGGGAAGGAAAATGGTGTATGTATACCATGCAAACAGTGAATTTAAAAAATCATGAGTAGCTATAGTAATATCTGCTAAAGTAGACTCATGCAAAAATAAAATTACTGCAGACATAGAGGGTGATTAACTAATGATAAAAGGATCAATCCACAAGGAAGACATAATAGTGCTAACTATACATACCAAAACACAGAGTCCCCAAATGCGTGAATCAAAAACTGATAGAGATGAAATTAGAGAAATCTACAATTATGGTTGGAAACTTCAAATACCCACTTTCTGCAACTGGTAGAATTACTAGACAGAAAATCCACAAAGATATAGAAATCTACAATACAATCAATCACCAGATCTAATTGATGAAATATAGAATACTCAACAACAGCAGAATACACTTTATTCCAGTTCCTATGGAACATTTACCAAGATAAATTATGTCATGGACCATAACACAAACCTCAACAAAACACATTTAAAATAATTCTGTAGAGTATGGTCTTTGGCCATAAAGATATCAAACTAGAATTAAATAACAGAAAGACAGTAGGAAAGTCTCTAAACACATGGTAATTAAGCTATACTCTACCAAGTATTTCATGAGTCAAGGAAAAAGTTTCAAAGGAAACTTTTTAGAACAGAACTGGAAGAACTGTAAGTATCAAAATTTCTGAGAGACACCTGAAGTAGTCCTGAGCAGGAAATTTATAGCATTAAATGCTTACGTTTGAAGTGATGGAAGCTCTCAAATCAATTACCTAAGAACCTATCTCATGAAAACACAAAAAGAAGAAGGAAAACAAAAGCAAACAGAAGGAAGGAAATAATAAAGATAAGAGCAGAAATCAATGGCAATGAAAATAATAAAACATTAGAGAATATCAATAAAAAAATTCCAAAATATTAATAAAATCGATAAATCTCTAACAAGACAGACAAAAATTAAGAGAAAAAAATAAGTATCAAGATTGAAACAGAACATCATTATAGATACTGCACACATTAAAAAGATAGTTGAGCCAGCAATCCCATTACAGCAACCCCATTATGCCCAAAAGAACATAAATCATTCTGCCAAAAAGACACATGCACTTGTATGTTCATCCTTATGCTATTCACAATAGCAAAGACATGGATTCAACTCAGGGGCCCATCAATGATAGCTTGGATAAAGATAATGTGGTACATACACATGATGGAATACCATGCAGCCACAAAAAAAGGATGAAATTATGTCCTTTGCAGCAAAATGAATGGAGCTTAAGGCCATAATTCTAAGCAAATTAAGGCAGGAACAGAAGACCAAATACCACATGCTCTCACTCATAAATGGGAGCTAGAGTACACATGGACATAAATACAAGAACAATAGACGCTGTGGAGTACTAGAGAATGGGGGGCGGGGCGTTACAAAACTATCAGGTACTATGCTCGCTTTTTGGGTGACAGTATCTGTACTCCAAACTTCAGCACCACAGAATATTCCCATTTAACAAACCTGAACATACACCTACTGTATCTAAAATAGAAGTCGAAATTTAAAAAAAGATAGAGAATACTGCAAAAAAACTTTATATTAAAAAATTGGACAATTTACAAAAAAAAGAGAGCAAATTTCTGAAATACTACTAACTGTTAAAACGCAACTAAGATAAAATTGATATTCTGGAAAATACGGAAAATAAAAGCAACCCAATAAAAGCAGTACCATTAAAGAAACTGAATTTATAATTTAAAAATCTCAAAAAAGAAATATCTGAGCTTAGATTGTTTCATTGGAAATTTCTAATAAACATGTAAAGAATTAGCACTGATTCTACACAATCTTTTCCAAGAAAATAGAAGAGGAGGAAACACTTTTGGACTTCCAAGATCTGGACAGGAAAGCACATAGATTGCAGCTTTGCAGAGGACCCAGCTAAGGCATGCCTAGACTTCCTATCCACAGAAAGTGTGAGATCATATATGTATATTGTTTTTTAAGTCTCTGAGTTTGTGGTAATTCATTACATTGCATGGAAAACTAATACAAGAGGGAGTGAAAGTGGAAAAAATATAATTAATGTATATAAAAATATACACTACAAACAATGAAGAAAATACACATGGCTCCTATAATCCTCATTTCTGTAACGGGGCCATGAGACCATGGTTCGTATTTATGGTTTCCCTTTTATGGGATACAGGCCCATTGCCCCATTGCCCTCAACCAGCACCTGAGAGTGAGATAACCCAAATCTTAATATCTGAAGCATCTAGAACCGCTTTTATTGGGCTGCTTTTATTTCCTGTTAACCATTAGTACTAGACATGAAAATACAGAGACGTTTCTCCAGTTTCCTGTGGCTACTATAACAAGTTACCACTAACTTGGTGGCTTCAAACAATGAAACTTTATCCTCTCACGGTTCTGGAGGCCAGAAATCAGACATCACGGTATTGGCATAGTTGATTCCTTTTTGAAGCTCTTAGGGAAAATCTGTCCCATGCTTCTCTCCAAGACTCTTTGGCTGCCGGTGACCTTTGGCATTCTTTGGATCTTTAACATTCTTGACTTGTAGATGTATCACCCTAATCTATGCCTCCACCTTCTCATGGACTACTCCTCTGCATTTCTCCTCTTCTGATCCATGTCTTCTTCAAAGACACCTGTCATCAGATTTAGGGCTCACCCTGATAATTCAGGATGATCTCATTTCAAGATCCTTACTTTAATTAAAAGTGCAAAAAAGAAAAAACCCTTTTTCCAAATAATATTACATTCACAGGTCTAGAAAGCCACATCTTTTCGGGATTGGGGGTGGGGAGCACCATTCAAGCCACAACAGAGGTGCTCCAGAAAAGCCCTTGAATTCTAAACAGTTATCCTGGCCCCAGCAACCGTGTACTTGACAATTAGTAGCAATCACCCAATCAGTACAAAAACCCGACACCCCTGTCCACTCCCATGTCTATTGGTCTATTGTTTAACTCAAAAGGAGCCTTGAAGCCCAGCCGGCAGAGTCAACTTCCAGCTCAATGAAACCATTACTGGGTCCTCTGAGAAATAAAATTTCAAGATCAATAAAGCCAAAATGTCAGAGAAGGAAAGCAGAAAACTGTGATTGCTTCATTGGCTGTAATATTGAGAAGAACCTCTACTACTTTCATTCCTTGTTTCAGCTGCCTGTATCACTGGTCCAGTCAACCAGGGCCAGGAAGCACAGGCACAGCCATGTGAGGGATCCATCTGGATCCAGGAAGCCACCATTTCTAGGAAGCCAGGGATACACATGCACATGTGTGTGTATGTTCAGATACACGCTTCTAACATATTTCCAAAGATATGCCCCACTACATGTATGATGCACCAGATCATCCAACGATATCCAATATAAAATTAAAAAATTTTTGAACCACCCTCCAGTGGTAGATGATCTAAATAAATAAATCTCATGTATTGAATCTAGAGAAAAAAATATTTTGTAACCTTTAACCCCTGAGTCCATAATCTCTTTTTCAAATGGAGAAAGTACCCTTTTGCAGTATAGTCCTTTTCTTACTACTGGGGTATTAGGTTAGTGCAAAAGTAATTGTGGTTTTGGACCATGAATTTTAAATCATTATAACTAGGCTCAAATACATCTTTATTAATCAAAATCAGAACCATTATAATCAACACATTTTTGCCAATGATAAATAAGTTTGTTTATTCTGGTAGTATAAAAATCTGTAGTGGAAAGCATTTTCTGCATCCTGCTGGTTGTGGAAGTGTTTTCCCTGCATAAAGTTGTTGAGATGTTTGAAGAACAGGTAGTCGGTTGGCAAGAGGTCAGGTGAATATGTCGGATGAGGCAAAACTTCGTAGCCCAATTCATTCAACTTTTGAAGCACTGGTTGTTTGATGTGCGGTTGGGCATTATCATGAGAATTTGGCCTTTTCTGTTGACCAATGTCGGCTGCAGGCATTGCAGTTTTCGGTGCATCTAATTGATTTACTGAGCATACTTCTTAGATGTGATGGTTTTGCTGGGATTCCGAAAGCTGTAGTGGATCAGACTGGCAGCAGGCCACCAAACAGTGCCCATGATCTTCTTTTGGTGCAAGAAGCTTTGGAGTTTCTTTTTGGTCCAATCACTGAGCTGGTTTTCTCCAGTTGTCATATACAATCCACTTTTTATCGCATGTCACAATCCGATCAAGAAATAGTTCATTGTTGTTGCATAGAATAAGAGAAGATGATACCTCAAAACGATGATTTTTTTTATTTTCACTCAGCTCATGAGGCACCCACTTATTGAGCTTTTTCACCTTTCCAATTTGCTTCAAATGCCGAACGACGTAGAATGGCCAACATTGAGTTCTTCAGCAACTTCCCATGTAGTTGTAAAAGGATCTGCTTCAATGATTGCTCTCAGTTGGTGGATGTCAACTTCCAATGGCCAGCTACTACACTCCTCATCTTCAAAGCTTTCTTCTCCTTGGCAAAACTTCTTGAACCCCCACTGCGCTGTATGTTCATTAGCAGTGCCCGAACGAAATGCGTTGTGGATGTTGCAAGCTGTCTCTGCTGCTTTACGACCAATACTGAACTCAAATAAAAAATCGCTCAGATTTGCTTTTTGTCTAACATCATTTCCATAGTCTAAAATAAATAGCAAGTAAAAGTCATTAGCAAAAAAAGAAAAAAACATAAAGCCAGAAATGCCCATTAAAATGATGTATGATATAACCACATTTATTTAAGAATGTATTCCAATATCAAATGGCAAGTTCTAACAATGCAAAAACCTCAATTACATTTGCACCAACCTAACAGAAGTATGCAAAGGA
Organism: Homo sapiens; assembly: GCF_000001405.40. NCBI lineage: Eukaryota > Metazoa > Chordata > Mammalia > Primates > Hominidae > Homo > Homo sapiens. The sequence goes on along the minus strand of NT_187556.1, from coordinate 302,983 downwards.
AAGGGAATATGAAACAGTGTTTAAATCAAAATCTTGTGCTGTCTAAAACAATGCCCATGGAAATAAATCCAGAGAAGGAAAGCAGAAAGACCAACAAAATATATACTTCAAATAAACAAGACAAATGTTGGATAGTAATATGTGCTAAGCAGAGTGATTTCAAAAATGGTGATGTTTCGACAAGTGACCTGGATCTCCTAAAAGAATAAGGGAAAGGATTCTTTCAATCCACGGCCCTAAAATAGGAAGAGGTTGGATGTGTATAGGAAAGAGCAAGTGGCTAGTAAGGCTGGAGCACACTGACAGTGGTACATGAGGTCAGTGAAAGTGGTCCACAGTGTCCGGAGTTTGCAAGCCAGAGCCAGGATTTTGAATATATTATTCATCACTGTCTTTCATTCTCTACATCCTCACACTGCATAATCCAGAGCTTAATGCATTGCATTGCACATGGTAAGTTTCAATAAATGTTTATTAGACATAGTTTAAGCCAGGCCTAGAATCCATGCTTCCTTCTTCTCCTGTGTTTTCCCCACTACATCATACAGTGTTTCTGCTTCTGAAAAAGCAGACAAATAAATGAAACCCCAAGGCATCGGCTCCTGGGAACTTTCCAGGATTATCCTTTGAGTACACTGGATAGCTCATTCCCCTAAGTACTTTGGCACTTCATTTACAGTATTCCTGAATTCAATGAGCAGTTTAGTAAGTAAATTGACTCAGGACCATGAGAAACAAAAAATAAATCTGGGCCTAAGGAGACTATGGCATGCATCCAGTTCAATATCACGGATTGAACATAAACAAAATCTTCTTCCATTCCAGTCCAAACGCATAAATGATAACAACATACAAACATACTTTATAAATATAGAGCTTACTGTGAAAACTAGAAAGATAAATCTCATAAATCAGAAATAGAGAGGCTTTTCCAAAAAAGAAAAATGGAGAAAGCCATAGTAGTGAGCGGGGGCTGAAACTGTGTGACCTGGGGGGTACCAGAGAAGATGGGAGAGAATAGAGCCAAACTGTGTCTGCACAGCTGGGGCCTGAAGGACACCAGCCAGGAAACAAATAGATGCCCTTGACTGAAAGATCGAGATGTACTGAGTCATCCATCTGTACCCGTCAGAGCTGGATAGCCTCGAAGCATGTCACTCATCTTGGGTTAAGAGTCCTGAGAATGTACTAGACTTCCAGCACTGCCATTACAATGTATTGCGGACTGGGTGGCTTAAAACAACAGAAATTTATTTTTTCAGTTCTTAGAGGCTAGAAGTTTGAAATCAAGGTATTGGCAAGGCCATTTTCCCTCTGAAACCTGTAGGGGGAGAATCTTTCCTTGCCTCTTCCTAGCTTCCAATCCTTGGCATTCCTGGCTTGTAGCCACATCACTCCAATCTCTGCCCCCATCTTCACATGCTGTTCTCCCAATGTCTCTTCTCCTCTTATGATATTAGTCATACTGCACAGTGATATGTCATACATAGTATCACCTCGTTTTAACTTAACTAGTAGTATATGGAATGACTCTGTTTCCAAATAAGGTCACCTTCTAAGGTGCTGAGGATTCAGACAACATATATTTTTGGAGGACACAGCCCAACCCACAACATACAGCAATATAAAACACACCCAGCCAAATTATTCAAGTTGTGAGGGTAGAATGGGGATATTTTCAGATATATTCAACCCATAACACTAATGTATACAGAACTGCATTCCCAGCTGCAAGAACATCTTTTTCCTCCATATTTATATATCCATAAAATATGGTTTTACTGGATTTTAAATGTTATGTAAATGTTAGACTGTGGGTACCCTGCTGCTGCTTACTGTTTTTCTCTTAATATGTTTTTGAGATTTATTTACATTGGAAATCTAGTTCATTTTAAAAATTACTGTATGATATTTGATTGTGGAGATATAACCTGTTTTATCAAAACTTTCTCTTATGTATGAATGAATGTTATTCTCTATTTGCCTCTTAAGCATCAGTCTCTGCCCTTCTCTACTTGGCTCTCTGTTATGGGAGGCTAACTTCTTGAATCTGCATCACCCGGGGTCCCTTGCTTTCTGCCTTAGAGTTGGTTTGGCCAAGGCAAGGCACCAACAAAAGACCAGCTGGTGGGAGGAAAGGGAGGTGGTACATTCCCCATACTGGTCCACATTTTTTATAATGGCTGCAATTCCTCTATCAATGTCCTGGGAGGGAGCCATTTGCCCCATAACTTCAGCCCTCCAGGTTCCAGTAACACTGCTTTATTCTTGTCTCCATTCAGGCCCAGGGATGATAACTTATAGCTTTGTTACTTCTTGGGTGCTTTACCAACCCTTATTGGTACTACTGTAAATAGTCTTTTCAACAACAACAACAACAACAAAAATCCCTCAATTAACTATTTGAGTATGCCATCAATTTCCTGCTGAACTCTTGACTTATACTGTAATTGGTTCCAGAAGTTCCCCTAAAACACAGTTCATCAAATCGTATATGGAGTTGAGTCACTTATATATTTGATGAGTTGCATAGACAGACTTTTTGCCCTGGGGAAATTGAAACCTGGAAATCTGAGGCAAGAAATGGCTGGTACCTTTACTAAAACACATCAGCTTCTGGCATGCAATATGAACCTACTGACCTAGCAAATGCTTTCTTTTTAGTTTCCATCAGTAACTATAACCTGTAACACCTCACCTTTGCCCAGAGGGTCAGCAGTACAACTTTGCTGTCTTTTATCAAGACAATATCTGATCTCTGTCATGTTGAGGTCTAGACTAGAGCAGTGATCCTCAAAGTGTCATCTGTGAACTGGTTTCTGGTCCATGTTTCTTATTTATCCCCAATGAATTAGGAAGTTTGCACCAGAATGTGAACTATACCACTAAGCACACCGTTTGGCTCAGCTGACAATTTTTTTCTTAGAAAGACTTTTTTGATGAAGGAGTAGTGCATTGATTTATTTTCTGGTGGAAGCTCCTT